>NW_003315928.1:0-162988 GCF_000001405.40 Homo sapiens | reverse complement strand
GAATTCCTGGACACATACACCCTCCCAAGACTAAACCAGGAAGAAGTCATATCCCTGAATAGACCAATAACAGGTTCTGAAATTGAGGCAGTAATTAATAGCCCACCAACCAAAAAAAGTCCAGGACCAGACGGATTCACAGCTGAATTCTACCAAAGGTACAAAGAGGAGCTGGTACCATTCCTTCTGAAACTATTCCAAACAGAAAAAGAGGAACTCCTCCCTAACTTATTTATGAGTCCAGCATTATCCTGATACCAAAACCTGGCAGAGATACAACGCGAAAAAAGAAAATTTCCGGCCAATATCCCTGATGAACATCAGTGTGAAAATCCTCAGTAGAATACTGGCAAACTAAATCCAGCAGCACATCAAAAAGCTTATCCACCATGACCAAGTCGGCTTCTTCCCTGGGATGCAAGTCTGGTTCAACATATGCAAATCAATAAACATAATCCATCACATAAACAGAACCAAAGACAAAAACCACATGATTGTCTCAATAGATGCAGAAAAGGCCTTTGATAAAATTCAACATCCCTTCATGCTAAAAACTCTCAATAAACCAGGTATTGATGGAACACATCTCAAAAAGAATAACAGCTATTTATGACCAACCCACAGCCAATATCATACTGAATGGACAAAAGCTGGAAGCATTCCTTTTGTAAACTGGCACAAGACAAGGATGCCCTCTCTCACCACTCCTACTCAACATAGTATTGGAAGTTCTGGCCAGGGCAATCAGGCAAGAGAAAGAAATAAAGGGTATTCAGATAAGAGGAGAGGAAGTCAAATTGTCTCTGTTTGCAAATGACATGATTGTATATTTAGAAAACCCCATCACCTCAGCCCCAAAACTCCTTAAGCTGACAAGCAACTTCAGCAAAGTCTCAGGATACAGAATCATTGTGCAAAAATCACAAGCATTCCTATACACCAATAATAGACAAGCAGAGAGCCCAATCATGAGTGAACTCTCATTCACAAGTACTACAAAGATAATAAAATACCTAGGAATACAACTTACAAGTGACATAAAGGATCTCTTCAAGGAGAACTATAAACCACTGCTCAAGAAAATAAGAGAGGACACAAGCAAATGGAAAAACACTCCATGCTCATGGATAGGAAGAATCAATATTGTAAAAATGGCCATACTGCCCAAAGTAATTTATAGATTCAGTGCTATTCTCATCAAGCTACCATTGACTTTCTTCACAGCACTAGAAAAAACTACTTTAAATTTCATACAGAACCAAAAAAGCCTGTATAGCCAAGACAATCCTAAGCAAAAAGAACAAAACTGGAGGCATCACGCTGCCTGACTTCGAACTATGCTACTTTATTTATACTACTTTGATTTTCGTAACCAAAAGAGCATGGTACTGGCACCAAAACAGAGATACAGACCAATGGAACAGAACAGAGACCTCAGAAATAACACCACACATCTGCAACCATCTGATCTTTGACAAACCTGACAAAAACAAGCAATGGGGAAAGGATTCCCTATTTAATAAATGGTGCTGGAAAAACTGGCTAGCCATATGCAGAAAGCTGAAACTGGATCCCTTCCTTACACCTTATACAAAAATTAACTCAATATTGATTAAAGCCTTAAATGTAAAACCCTAAACCATAAAAACCCTAGAAGAAAACCTAGCCAATACCATTCAGACATAGGCATGGGCAAAGAGTTCAAGACTAAAACACAAAAAGCAATTGCAACAAAAGCCAAAATTGACAAATGGCATCTAATTAAACTAAAGAGCTTCTGCACAGCAAAAGAAACTTATCATCAGAGTGAACAGGCAACCTAGAGATTGGGAGAAAATTTTTGTAATCTATCCATCTGACAAAGGTCTAACATCCAGAATCTACAAAAAACCTAATTTTATAAGAAAAAAACAAACCCCATCAAAAACTGAGCAAAGGATATGAACAGACACCTCTCAAAAGAAGATATTTATATAGACAACAAACATATGAAAAAAAGCTCATCACTGGTCATTAGAGAAATGCAAATCAAAGCCACAATGAGATAACATTTCATGCCAGTTAGAATGTTGATCATTAAAGAGTCAAGAAACAACAAATGTTGGTGAGGCTGTGGAGAAATAGGAAAGCTTTTACACTGTTGGTGGGAGTGTAAATTAGTTCAACCATGGTGGAAGACAGTGTGGAGATTTCTCAAGGATCTAGAACCAGAATTACCATTTGACCCAGCAATCCCATTACTGGGTATACACCCAAAGGAATATAAATCATTCTACTATAAAGACATATGCACACATATGTTTATTGCAGCACTATTTACAATAGCAAAGACTTGGAACCAACCCAAATGCCCATCAATATAGACTGGATTAAAAAAAATGTGGCACGTATACACCATGGAATACTATGCAGCCATAAAAAAAGAAAAGAATGAGTTCATGTCCTTTGCAGAAACATGGTTGAATCTGGAAACCACTATGTTCAGCAAACTAACACAGAAACAGAAAACCAAACACCACATGTTCTCACTCATAAGAGGGAGTTGAACAATGAGAACACATGGACACGGGGAGGGGAACATCACATATCGGGGCCTGTCAGGGATGGGGGCCAAGGGGAGGGAGAGCATTAGGACAAATACCTAATGCATGTGGGACTTAAAACCTAGATGATGGGTTGATAGGTACAGAAAACCACCATGGCACATGTATACATATGTAACAAACCTGCACATTCTGCACCTGTATCTCAGAACTTAAAGTAAAATAATAAAAAAAGAAGAAAAAAGCAAAGCTATATCTCAAATTGAACTTATAGGACAGGAATGGGGTGTTAGGGGCAAGGTGTAGGCCTTGGAAGTGCATCTGCTAGTTCCACTTACAGTCTCCATGATGCTTCTGAGTGTTCATGGCTTCTTATAGGATATACTGCCAGAGGTATGCATGGAAATTAAAGCAGTTTCCCAAGGCATATGAAGAGGAGTATTTCTGAACTTTTCAAGTAAATACCCTAAGTGTACTTTGGTTTGCATTTACAGCTAGTCTTTTGGTTTGAGACAGACTGAATGAAGAGGAAAAACTAAGAAAAAATTAAACTGAACAAGATAGTGATGGCTCAAATATAATGCAAATTATCATTTGAAATAATGCAGAGGTATGTACAAACATGTTGTTTAAAGTTATGGAGATTACTTCTAGAACTAAAAATACCAACAGTTCCATGTAGCTGCCTTGTTTCACAGAGAAGCTGCAGAAGCCAGTGGTAGAACAAACCCAAAATTCTCCCTCCAGGTTCTCAGCTCCTGATAAGGTATAAACAAAATTAAGACAGGAGCTTTTAGATTAGAGTATGTATATATCTCTGAAGAGTAGGCAGCTGTGAGACAGAACCAAGGATGACAAAAGGTGATCTGATCTCAGTCTACAAAACACTTTCTTCACAAACATGAAGAAGTCCTAAGATCCAGAGTTTGTGAGGGCATATAGACCCAAGTGCAGGTGAGCTGACACACTAGAGGAGAGCTTTCGGGGAAAAGGGGGAATTCAGGATAGCAAAGATTTACACTTAATGTGAATATCATGGAAGCTCCTCTAGACAGTATCATCCTAGTGAAAAAGATCTTTGAGTTTCTGCAGATTAGACTTTTTTTCCCACTCACTTCTTACATTTGGAAGTACTTGCCTTGTTGAAAAAAATAGCTCATTTGAGATTATTGGAATGAGGCTGACCAATGATAAGCTGTGAGCCTTGATATCCTAGATGAAACAAGAATATCTTCAGGAGAATCTTATAAATATATGGACCTTCCTTCATACCCTGGATGTCGATGGCATCACATTTGTACTGGTGAGAGCTTATCTAAGCCAAGTGGCAGGTGAACCACACTTCCCGCACTGGCTGCTCAACATAACCTACTTTCTAAACCAGGTGGAGTCCACTCAATTTTTAGCTAGCTCTATGTCTTGGATAAATTCCCCTTGGAGTGCCAGCTGCTTGTTGGCTTTGCAATGTTCTCCTGCCTCATCATCATGGCCCAGGATAACACAGCACACATCTTTGATTCCCTGATTATTCTGGAAAATGTTGTTAGTGACCTGACTCAGCCTCAAATCCTGTGGGTCCTGGGAGAAATTGGGGCAAACTCTGGAGGGTCTTAGACATCATCATCGTCTCTCAGGGCATCTCTCCCCAGACAAAGAGCTTAGTCAAGGGGTATGCAGCATATTTGCACTTGAATACAGCAGAAGCAAAAGGGCACTCAAACAAGATGGCAGTCTCTGACTATAAAGGAGAGGCTTCACCCACCAAAGTAACAAGGAAGCATTCCTTTAACCTATTCAAGATCAGCATATGTCAAACTGAGGCTCATACCCTATGAGTAGGTCATGAAACCAATTTGCAGGGTTACAGCCAGGATTTTGTTATCATTTATTCCTTTAGTTTTGTATTTTAAGGACGTTTCTGTTAACAAATGCTTATATTTAAATTAATTATGTTTTCGCTTTTTAACAGAAATCTAAAATTAAGTATTACTTTATAATTTTTTCACTTATATATCGTGTGTATGTGTCTGTCTATCTACCTACTGGGTTGTAATACGAAGTATACTTTTATTTTATATGGGGGTCCTGGTGTTTGTGAAACACTGTATTTGTGTGGTTATGGTACTGCCTTATTTACTCACTGGGACCAGGCTACAGAAAGACTCAGGCTGATATGCTCATGATCACCTGTACCAAGTTCCTGGTCAGTTCAAATGAAAGCTAATCCTAAAACTCCACTGCCATGATCAAAATGACAAAGAAAAACGTAACAGCTAAAAGAAGATGCTGAATTGTCCCAATATCAAGGAGTAGAAAAAGGCAGAGGACCAGAGCATAGAAAGGGAAGCCTCAGAAAATCAGCCCTCTTGAGTTGCGCCAACTCTCCAGTGGCTGCAAGAAATTCATGGGGAGAATCCTGGCATACATACAGGAGGAATTGTGGAAAGTCTTACCAGGTCCTCGAGAGGATTTCTTAGTGCCCAAGTGATCACTGTAGAACTGATGAGAATATAATTTCTAGTCAATTATTCACATTCTGAAGTTTGGATCTAAGCAGAGAATAAATAGGTAATGGGTAGTGTCAGGCACTCCCAGAACTTTAAAAATATGACCTAGGAGGGTGAAATTATAGAGGATAAATATGCCATGATTGAGGCTGGTCAACTGTAGAAATGGAAGTGTCAGTAAGTGGCTACTGGGAAGATGTGGCCTGATGCTGTCCCCATGCTGTGAGCCTCCCTCAAACTCTGGATTATAGAAAATGGGTGTTTGAGGATTTGAAATAAATCGAGGCTGTCTTCCGGAAACCTTCTATTATACAGGCTTTTATAATAGAATCTTCTCTGGGAAGTCCTGTCAAGATTTTTGTCCAGAAAGTTTATTAAGACTTCGTAGCAGGTTTTATATCCTCACAGATATGATTTTACCCACAAATAAATACATCTCCATTCATTTAGGATAATCTGGCTCACAAGTGGCCAATGGTGAAAATTAAATGCCTAAGAAATGATCCGCAATGGCAATTATAACTGGAAAGAAAACCAGACCTTCCAGTTATCCACGCAATGCAGTGCCTGTGTGATCTGACTGGCAAGCCAGATAAACCACCAGAAGCTTTTTGGATGAGCTGATCTTGGTGCAGGAGATTAAGTTGTGGGATTTGATAGTTTAGTTTGCTCAGAGGAGGGGTTGAGAAGAGTGACTTGAATGTTGGCCTTGAGTCTCTCTCAATAAGGAATTAACCAACCAGATTCTAGCTTGTGAAGTCTGAGGACCAGAAACATGGCTGTCTCTGTCCATATGCCCATCATTTGCCATTTTCTGGCTCTGCCATCATCATTCTCTTTCTCTCTCTTCACACCACTTCTACACTAATAGAATTGTTTACAAGAAAAGGCTTCCAAAGCTGTAAATCTTTTGTACATAATTTAAAGAAGATTTTCAACAGACATCTATGATTTCATTACAAAGAACCCAATGGCATTAGGTTGAAACAAGTGTACAAAATTATATGCACACTAAGTTGTCATTGCATATTCTTCTCCCAAGAAAAATCATATCTATTTTCTACTCAAAACTATTTCATAATTTTGCTATTTAAATAATGACTTTGCAGCCAGGCATGGTGGCCCACGCCTGTAATCCCAACACTTTGGGAGGTCAAGGTGGGAGAATCACTTGAGCCCAGGAGGTCAAGACTAGGCTGGGCAACACAGCAAGACCCCATCTCTACAAAATATTAAAATTATAAAAAGCAAACAACAAATAATGACTTTGTAACTTTTTGTAAAAAAAAGTTTTCTCTAGAAAATATGGCTGAAGGTAGGATGGACGACTGTTATTATTTATTATAAGTCTTTCTGTACTATTTGCATTTTATCACGTACATTTATTACTCTAACAAAATATAATAAAAATTTCTTATTTTATTTTAATTCAACTAAGTGTAACTCTCACTTAACTAATTTTTTTCCTCAGCACTAAAGAGGCATATAAAAATATAAAAAGCTATTCATTTGAAAACTTGAACAAAACTAATATCCAGAGAATGGTCAGCAATGACAATTTACATCCATCACTAAATTACCGTATCATGGTTTTTGCATTGATTACCCTTAGGAAATGCAAGTGGACATTCCCTATTACATTTTGGTGATTCATATTTCTCATATAACCTTTTTTGAAAATTAGCTACACTTCACCAGCCCTTGACTTTTATAACCTCATTTCAAGGTTTGTCCTGTGACTCCCTCACAAATTCAGAGCCCCAGAGTCAATGTCAGTATTTTGCCTCACCATCTCATGTGTGCCACCTAGTGGTCAGAATGAGACCAGCTGACTGAAAGGTCAAAAGATGGTTATGATGTAAACTGTGGTTGCTGCCACCCAGGTGTCTTTAGTGTCTAGAAATCCCAGCACTTGATGACAATGGGGGCTTCTTGTGTGATACAATGGCATAAAAGTGTGAATTTTAGACTAAGAGTACTGGAAAATTAACTCAGAAAAAAAACCAATGTGTTTTAAGTAATCAGCGATTGACTAGTGCCAGGAGAGCCAATAACTAGTTACTTATTTTAACAAAAATGCATTATTGAAAAAAAATCCAAATACTAAAGGTCACAATTATTAAAATTATGTAATTCACCATAAAATTTTACTACTCAAACATAGCCACACGATTATGCTCCAAGATAAAGCTGTGGGCATACTCTCTATAATACAGACACCTGAGGCTGGGGAAGCATAAAAAGAATTACAAAGCCAAAGTTCTTCTAAACAGTTTTTCAGAAACATTTTTAGTGATTTTTAGTCCTTACCCAGTACCAATCCATTTCAAAGTGAGTTTCCATTCATTCATTCAGCAACTATACTTTGACAGGCATTCTTCCAGGAGCTAAGATAAAGCAAGAAACAAGGCAACTAAGAGTTTTCCCTCATGAACGTGATATGTTAGTGCAGGAAGATAGTTAAAAAATAAGTAGATCATAAAAATCACGAAATGATTTTAGATGGTGATAAGTGCTATCAAGACAGTATAGTTGAGTGCAATAGGATACAGAATGATGGTGGGAGTTGAGGGGATTCTTCCTTCGATCTGTGACTTGACCATTGAAAAGGAGCCACCGTATGTCGAGACAGGGCACAGAATTCCTGGCAAAGGGGACAGCACACATGACTGCCTTAAAGTTACACTGAATGTTTTCTGATTGAAGAATTGCTAGGGGGCCATTTTGGTTCAAAATTATCAAAAGAGAGGAGGTAAATGGTAAGAGATGAGAGTAAGGATGTAGGCAGGAACCATCATATTTAGAGCATCAAAGGCATGCTAAGGAATGCTACTTTAAACGTGAAACAAAACCAGGAAATCAAAGGACAATTTGAGAAGGAACAATAATACAGCCTAATATATGTTTTTTGGAAAATTATTTTTGCCATCATTTAATGATCAGACTGAGGGAGCCAAAATCAGAGACCAGCACAGGTAAGGATCTTATTAAAGTTGTATAGATGAGAGATAGTTATGGCTGGAAGTGAGGCAATAGCAGAGGAGGGATTGAGAAGAGTGAGATTCTGGGTGTATTTTTAAGATAGAGTCAATATGCCTTGCTGATAGGATGGAATCAGGAGAAGAAAAGAAGGCAATGTTGACGTCAAGGATTTGAGCCACAAAAAGAGACCTCTGGGGATGACTATATTATTTAAGTGGGGGGGGGGGGGGAGAAGGAAGAGGGTACCAAGCGTCCTGTTTGACGTGCAAAGATTGAAGGACTCCTAGCCTTCCAGAGGAGATCAGATGCCACCGCATTTTTTTCACAGATTTTAGTTTCATAGTTGTGTGATCATTACATCTTGAGGTAATTACTATAATCAACAACTTCTAAAAACCTAGGATATTTCTCAGCAGCTAACTGCTGAATTTGTGTCATGACCAAAAAGTGAATGTTAAAAACCAGGCTTAAACTTCCTTATATTACTGTTACCCTACTGCTTTACCTGGGAATCCTAATCACACGGAAGTGTAGAAGCATGCATTTATCTCAACAGTATTTATCGAGGAGATGTTTGTGCTGAAATCAGAAGCAAGAGCCACAGTTTAAAAAGCTGCAGAGAGAGAATCCTTCTTTATAAGGAGAGAAATAAGTTACTGCACATGTCTTTTGGGGGGAATTGACGGAGACCAATATGACTGGACCCAAAAGAGAAAGGGAAAATGTGGTGGGACAGGAGGCAGGAGAAATAGGAGAGAATGGAACATAATAAAGAGTTTTGGCTTTACCCTAAAGGCAGTGGGAAACAAGAAATGGCAAGATCAAGTCCTACTTTTAAAAGATTATTGTGCTGCAATATGGAGAATGAATTAGAGGCAGGGCTAGAATCAGACCTTTTGAGCCACTGTTCCCTAAAACATGATTATGTTCCTCAACATCAACACCCCCCAACCAAACATACACACACACACAAACACACACACACACACACGCAAATACCAGTCTGTGATGCAAAGTAAAAGCAATCATATAATATTTAAAACTGTATTTAATCTTTAAGTGACCCAAATGTACATGGGTGCTGATAGTTAAAGAGCTTTTTTCTACTTTGTTTCCCATTCCCTTTTGTACGTTTATGTGGGTGTCTGTCATTCAGTGAGACAGAGAAGTGGAGGAGGACTATGTCTAGAAAAGACTCTTAGTGATGATCTGATCTAGGGCCAGTAAATGGAAGGCATCACGTACTTCTCTTACCCCCAGTAGAAACTGATTGTTAACCACAATAAGCATTCTAACCTGCTGTGACTTAGAATCATGCTTCAGATAAGATCAATTTGTCATCTCAGATCAAATAGAAACCCCTCATTTAGAAGGTAAAAAAAAAAGATCCAATTTTAAAAATCCAGCTCTACAGAAAAGGCATTTTGAATAAATGCATATCCTTAAATTACTGTTTTAATTTAAAATTTTAATGAAAACATTTAAACAAAATTCTACATGTCTGTGTTATGCTCTACCATTTTCTTAGGCCTATAATTTAAGAATATTACCTGAGTTCATATCCAGGACAGCATTGGCAAACCAATGGAGAAATAAAGATAAATCGATATTAAATAAAAAGATGTTGTTTGGGTATATAAATATCAATCAACAACTAAAACTTAACAGTTGCACGCTTCCATCTGATGGTCTTGTATCTCATAGGAGTGTCCTTTGGTTCTAGAAAGAAAACAAGAGATCACCTGAACCATCGTTGGAAGATGAGGATGAGGATGAGGATGTTGAGTCCCAGGGTGGTAAAGCTTTTGGCTCGAGGTCACAAAGCTTATTAGTGACAGAGGTTAGGTAGAAACAAGTGCCTCCTAATTCCCAGACCATTGCTCTTACCTGTGGACTACACTGACTCCACAAACACACGTACCCTGGAACCCTAACTGGACGACAGATATGAAACGCAAGAGAAGTCAACATACTGGATTGAGTGCAATTATTACCAGTCACACTCATAATTTTTAAAATGACAATAGCGTTTTAACAAGAGAACATCTTTGATCTTCCTATTATCCTACCAGTACCCTTAGCCAACACTTGAGTGTCTAATAGCTTACTCACAGGATAACAAGATTTTTCCTTTTATCTCCCTATCAATTTGAAAGAGGGTCGAAGAAATGTAACACAATAATGGACGAGAATAAGACTTCATTTAAGAAAATTCAATATTCATGTATCCAAACCTACAAAGAGACAAATTAGGGGAAATTATTCAAATAATGCAGACTTTCTTATAGGTTTGCTTTAAATAGCTTGCTCCATTAGAACTTTCTAAATATTTATAGATCATTAAGTAATTGACATGAAGATTGGGGGTGGAGGAAGACAGCCTTAAAATCAGAGCATTAAAATATTCATCTAACTGATGGAGAAGAATTTTTTCAAAAAAAACTTAAAATACATTGCAAAATAATGCAAAATATAATCTTAAGCATCAAAATAATCTCATATGAATTGAAAATGCTGTTTCTCAGGAGAGAATGATGGACATTTTATTGTCTGATTCTTGCATTATTTCCATCTCTAATTCAGTGAGTTAAAGGTAAACATATGCATTGAAGGAGCTCTGGGATATGTGTTCCAGGAACTTACTAAAACGGCCATGTATTTCACTTTTGGAAGACTTTATGCTTTTGTCCTGACTGCTTCAAAATTAGAAAATAATGTTATTTTAACTACATTTATATTCAACACAGGGATGTTCTGATCCGATTATTTTTTTCTTGAGATTCCCTCTAATGTGTAACATGTATTCACTCTCAGAAACCACACTGAAACACTCATACTCCTCCAGAGTATGAGACTCAAGTCACATACTTGATCTCAAAATCATACTCCTCTGCTTTTGGCTTTGTTGATCTTACAAAGCTTTGGGGCAAAAGTCACCTAAATTGATCCAGAGTACTGACCAACTAAAAGTCATCTAAACTGATCCAAAAGTAATATAAATTGATCCACAGTTTATAAAGTTTTCCATTGAAAAGGTGAAGGTAATAAAAACTAACTTCGACTTTTTGATGATTTTTTTTTCTGATGAGTTTTAAGTGCTTGGAAGGAATAGTATGCAGCCACTTCAAGAAATCATATTTTAAAAAGTGGATCCCTCTCCAGTAAGGAGGGACTCTGAAGTTTAGGAATATCTGTAGCCCATGGTTCATGGTAAATAGTTCAAAAGCACTTGGAGACAAGGAAAGGAGAAGAGACTTGGAGCTCCAAATCTGAGGGATCCTAGCCTAGCCAGTAGAAACTGTAGATGTCTGGGGACAGTTAATGCTTAAAGTACATAACAAGGTGTGGCAACTGTATTAGTCCATTTTCACACTGCTGTGAAGAAATACCTGAGACTGGGTAATTCACGAAGAAAAGAGGTTTAATTGACTCACAGTTCTGCATGGCTGGGGAGACCTCAGGAAACTTAACAATCATAGCAGAAGATACTTCTTCACAGGGCAGCAGGAGAGAGAATGAGTGCAAACAGGGGAAACGCCAGACACATATAAAACCATCAGATCTCATGAGAACACACTATCACAAGAATAGCATCGGGAAAACTGCTCCCATGATCCAATTATTGCCACCTGGTCTCACCCTTGACATGTGGAGATTATGGGGATTACCATTTGAGGTGAGATTTGGGTGGAGACACTGAGCCAAACTATAACAGCAACCAAATATAACACATGATCTTGGACTAAATCCTAGATAGGAGGAAAAAAGAGAAAGATAAGAGGAAAAAAGAGAAAGACAGAAGGAGAGGAGAAAGGTGAGAAATGTAAGAAAGAAGAAAAGGGAAGGAGAGAGGGAGAAAGAAAGAGGAGGGAAGGAATAAAGAGAAGATTACTATAAAGGATATTTGGAACAATTGGTGCAATTTGAATGTAGAATGTATATTAGATTATAGCACCGTATCAGTGTCAAATTCAAAGAATTTGACAACTATATCATGGAAAATAATGTTTATGTTCTTCAGAGATACATGTTGACTCATTCACAAGTGAAAGGTCATGATGTCTATAACTTACTTTCAAATAGTTAGAAAACAGTAATAAAAGAATAATAATGGAATAAATATAAATGAATGTGATGAAGGAAACATAGTAAAACTGTAAACAATTGATGATTCTGGGTGGAAAGTATCCAGGGGTTCATTGCATTATTCTTGCAACTCTTCATAATCTTGAATTTGTTCAAAATAAAAAGTTAATTGAAAAAGCCTATAGCACAGAGGCACTAAGGAGTTCAGTAGCCCTTGTATTTTTAAATACACACTGGGGCCAGAAGAAAAACCACAATACATACATACATAGATTTCTCTCTCTCCTTAAAGAGATAGTTTTTTTCTACAAAGACAGAAAAAACAACGGTTATATAAATGCATTCAAACATAGGTCACATAGATATTGGCTAAAAATATTGAGTATTACAAGTAAAACTGTCTCGATTCAAACGGTGGCTCTTTTTCGTTGCATAATCTTGGACAAATTATTTAACTACTCCATGCCTCAGTTTCCCCATCTGTAAAAGACAGATAAGAAACTGTCAGCGTTGTTATAAAGGTTGAATGGAATAATCCCCAGTAAGTGCTTAGAATCCACCTGGCTCATGGTAAGCATTCAATAAATGTGCAGTACTCCTACTTTAAAATGTAAAGTAGACTATGGCTAAATCCAACTGTGGCTAAAAAAGATAAGAATAAAAGTAGAAAATCAATTCCAAGGTAAAGAAGACTAGAAGTCCCATCAAGTGGCATTAACAAAGATGTTAGACATATGCATTAAATTTGAATCTGGCAGTCGGCATTTCGAACTCCAAAGTAAAAAGAGGATGTAGACAAGTACATAAAATTAATTATCAGAAAATGGGGATTCATCCCTATTTCTCAAAGGAGGTAAAAGTTTTCCTAGTGCTAAATCTTATAAGAATTAATTTAGGAAACAATGAATATTCTAAAGAAAAATATTCTGTCAAGATTGCTACAAGAGATGTAGTTACAAATTTGATGTGGCTTTTAAAATAATACCATTCTCTGATAGAAGCTAAGTGAACGCCATTAAAAGAAAACTCAGTTAAGATATAATTTTGAAAGCAGCTAAGGTAAAAATTGTTCAACTGTGTATTGTCCTGAGAATACCCAACTTGATCCAAGAATAGAAACTATAGTATCTAGAGCAGTAGGTGAACAGCAGATCCTTTGAATGGTCCTTCATAAAATATTACGTCTCTTAGCAGGGCTTTGCTAAGGATCAAATAGCAGAGCAATAAAGATTTTACTTTGTCCAAGGCTGGGAATAGAGATGTTCTATGTTGCTTCTTGAAGGCCAAATCCTTTTGTTTAGGAGCAGCGCTGGGACATGCCTGACCCTAAGAGTAAGTATCTCCTTAAATGTTGTGCCCTAGGTGCCTCTGTTGCTTTGTCCTAATCCCACTCCTGTTTAGATGAAGCAAATAGAGAATATGTTAGTCCCACCACATTTTATATACGTGACAGTTGTTAGAAAGGGACAAAATAATGTCTTTCATTGCTCCTCACCAAAAAAATACATAAATAAATAAAATAACACAAGATCCATTCAGAGAGCTGGTGGGGAAGACTGTGGATGAAGAATATCACCTTGATCCAGTTCAATGATTGCATTGCAGTAATGCTTAGAGTAATTTCTGGGTCAAAGGTTCAATTGCTTTCTAACTACAGACCATTGTTACTCCTCTTAATAAAAGCTCAGAAAATCCAGTATTTCACTTGCGAAGAAGTTGCATCTCCATAAATGATATGGATGTCTACGTACAAACAGTATGTAGAAAAACACCTTTTAAACTTCAATACTTTTAATCTTGAGGTTACAGTTTGCCTGAGCTATTTACAAAATCAGTGCTTAAACAAAAAATAGAAATGCTTCCACCCCATAACCACGATATTCCCCAATCCAAAGCCTGAAATAGAGGCATTTTGTGGCCACCCTAATGACCACCTTGGCCTACCTATTCTAGGAGGCAACATAGACTCTATAAGCCTTATGCTCAGGGTCAGGGGAGAGAAGTGCAGGCTACTCAGACCTTTCCCCAGTTTCCCAGGGGCTTCTTCCCAAGACTCACAGACCTTCCAGTATTAAAGAAATAATTATTCTGATACTGTTGAATGGTAAGTAAGGCTTTATTCAAGACTATTTCAGTAGGGGTATTGCAATAGGGAGAGAGATTAAACTCGATTCTCAATACAGCAAAGGCAGCTGAGAATTTATAGGCAGAGTGAGGATGTCATTGGGTGGGAAATAACTATGAGGAGACATCAAAGGATGGGGGGTTCTTGCAAAACTGACCTAACCGGATTCTTGCTAAAGCCCCCAAAGATTTTTCCAATCAATGGTGGAAGATAAGGGACTTGACCAGATATTAAGCATGACTATATATCAAGTGCACAAGATTCTCCCTAAACTGACTTAGCAGGATTCTTGCTACCACTGGGTGAGGCAGGACCGAAGCCCACGTTGAGGCTTGTTGAGAATGAGGCTTAGAAGAGCCTAACTGAAGTTTGGACAAGGGGAAAATCTCTGTCAACAGATATGCTGAAGCAGCAGGCAGAAGCAAATTCTAGTTCTTGGTTTTGCGGTCCTAAAGGAAAAAGAGGAAATCAAGAGCCATTACAGAAAGAAATTAAGTTTTTACAACTTTGGAAGACCATGCATTTTTCCCAAAATAAAGCATTCTAATCCCTCAGCGTGTTCAATAAAGATGATATCTTTCATATCTTATATTTATTCCTGATTCCATTAAGACAGATTTCAATGGCACCAAGAAATGTATAATGGTTTACTGACCTCATGTTTGTCCTGGATGGCAATCAGAAACTATCAATTTAGAATTCCATTTTCAGCAGATTAGCTTTTTAGCTAGAACGTATGTGTGTGTGTATGTGTGTGTGTGCACATGCATGTGTGTTTATGTGTTTGTTTGCTTTCATTTATTCAGATCATTTCTAAATATTGCCATATGGTAATTGAGTTGTAACGTTGCAGCCTCTTTAAAAGGAAGACAGAGTATGAAACAGGTCTCCAAACAATTCAGCCCAGCCAACATGGGCCATAAAGGGGAGGGAAGAGGAGGGAAATATTCTATTTACCATCTTTCCTCTTGGAAAAATGTCGTTTCCGGGGAGGTCAGAATTCCACACTCCAGTGCCAGTCAGAATTAGAACAATCTATTCCAATGTCCTTTATGAGCCCAGAACAACTGTCAAAGCTCTGTAGAAATTGAGTGGATCAGCAAGTATTTGGAATAAAACAGCTGTGCCTGGTGGTTGCTTTACTTGGTTAACACCGTTAATGGCTCAAACACAGAAAACAGGAGAGCCTGGGAAACACCTTCCTGTCCTCACTGGCAAGGCTCCTTCAGCCCTCAACCTTGAGGCGGCTCTTTTCTCTCATGGGCTTGGCAGGGACATGAGCGTGTGTGTGTCTGTATCTGAGTGTGTTGGAGGCGCATGTTCTCCTGGAGTGGGGTAGGGGGCAGGTGGGGAACTGTGCAGGTTTTTCTGCCCTTTCTCAGTTTTATTTCCCTATTCCTTCTCCACCCTGAAAACTCAGAGAAGCATATATGATGCCTTTTGTTTAGCAGAAAACACAGCCAGTAGAAGATAATACATATTTTTAAATCTTGCTTTCTTTCTGATACATTCTTTTTATCTCACAGTGGAGCCACCAAGTTCTCCAAAGACTGATAGACTTCAAAAGTTACCATCAGCTTAAAACAAAAAACAAAACAAAACAGAGAGCAGTCTTGGTGCTTTTGAAATAGCAACCACAAGCAAGCAGCAAAATCGATAATCCGAAAAACAACAGCTGGGGGCAAAGGAGGGGCAAAGAGGCTGGGGTAGGCCAGGACTTATGTTCAGGGAAGATTTCTGAAAGGCCCCTTTGTATATACACCAACGATTCTGGGTGATAAAATGCTGTCTGCAATAAAAGGCATTCTCCCATGGCTTCTGCATGCTAATGACCTCCTGATCCACATTCTCTAGGCTCAGAAGGGGGTGTGGAAATGTCTCTCCAAAACCAGCTGATCCTTCTCAGTTGCTACTGACAAATATTTTAGCTAGAAGACCAGATTAAATAGTAATTGTTAACTGGCACTGCAAGCCTTAATGTTACTTCCAGAAACAAACAGGAAAGCAGTGGTAAGACTGCTCCTTGCTTAACAAGGCAGCCAACTCCACCTCGCTGAAAACTGGGATCTCCAGAAGGACCCCTAGGACCTGGCAGCAGCCTTTAACTATTTCCTTCCCACAGCCCTTGGAACAGGCTTCAGTGATTTGAAGAGTATTTGGTAAACATGCCTCTAGTTTGTCATTCCTACAAGGGCACCGAGGACCCAGAAAACACTTATCCCCCAAGGGAAGTCATTTGGATAGGTGTCTGTCAATTTATATGGGAATACTCCACCAAAGGACATAAAAAGGCTATGAATTAATCTAGAGTGATAGAAGCAGGGATCTTTTCTTTCTCTCACCAAATATATTTTTAGCAAAAATCACCATCTCCCCACTCACAAATATATTAACCTTGCCATCTGTGGCCTCTTGCTTTCTCTTTGAAGTTAAACACGTTTAGGGAAGTGTATTTATTTGTCCCCAACTCTCTTTTTATATATTTGTTTCCCCTTCCTGCCTATTTGCCTCCCCAACTTTCTTAGACAATGTCTTTAGAGGGTAAGAACATTGACTTTGCAGTACGCTCAAGTCAGGGGCTATGTACTTGCCAGGACCTGGCTAAGATCACTCGTGAAAAAGAGTCCTACTGGATCTATTGTTTTGCTTTAGTAAATGAAAAACCTGAAATGATTATAGATTTAAAGAGGTACTAACATCAGTCTAAAAAGAGGAGCATACCTTATATTCAGGATAAATAAAACTGAACGAACCATTACCCCAAGTCCTGCTCCTCTACCCACAGGCTTCTCATCTCTGCAAATGGAACCATCACCTGCCCAGCTGCCCAAGTCATCAACTTGCTAGTCCTCCTCATTTTATCTTTCTCACTCACCTTCTATTCAGTAGAATAGATTCTACCTCCTAAAAGTCACAGTCGTGTTACTTCTGTGTCATCCCACATGGGTGAATTTATGCTTGCATAACAGTGCTACCATGTGTCATTGATAACTGTTCAAGTTATTGAGTATTTACTACGTGTTCAATGCTACATGGAAAGCTACAAGAAGTGGATAGTGCCTTTATCTTGTCAAATGCAATTTGTTTGCTAGGGCTACCATAACAAAGTGCCAAGCTGGGCAACTTAAATAACAGCAGCTTATTTTCTCACAATTCTGGAGGCTGCAAGTCCAAGATCAAGGTGTCAGCTGGGGTGGTTCCTCTGAGGCCGATCCCCTTGGCTTGTAGATGGCCTCTTCCTTGGGTCTTCACATGGTCATCCCTCTGAGTGTGTCTGTATCCTAATTTTCTTTTATAAGGGCACCAGTCATATTGAATCCACCATAATGACCTCATTTAAGCAGAATTACTCCTTAAAAACTCCATGTCAAATAAAGTCACATTCTGAAGTACTAGGGGTTAGAACTTTAATATATGAATTTTGGAAGGAGAGACACAAATCAGCTGGTATTAAGGCTCTTCATGTTTGTTACCTATTTTTTGTTCTCAGAAGTCTTCAAGAAAATTTCTGTGGACCAGGACAGGTGTTAGTACTGACATGAGAAAAATGAAACCCAGAAAGACTGACTGATGTCCCAACTCATTAAGTTGTTGCTAGTCCAGGCCCAGCCCTGACTTTCTCAAACAATGCCATCTCTCTCCCATTGTAGAGTAAATTTCTGCTGCCATGATTACACTATACTCTACAAAATTGCCTACGTTATCCTTTACTTTTCAAGTGCCTTCTATGTACCCCATTATTTTTCTTATTAATTCTAATTCTTGGGTGGTCCTCAGTCTTTTTCAGTTAATTTTCTTTTTTCCATTTAATGTACATGAACTCTTCCCACTTTCCCTCCTATCAAATTTCGAGTAGAGCATAAAGTCAGCATCATTTTATCTGTTGTTCGGCTTCTGTGGTGTTATTGTTGGGGACAGCAGCCTATCATCATAGTGTGTCATCCACTGAGAAAGTCTACATCCTACATGCATAATAAACTTTAATCTAGCCCCCGCATTAATCCTCCCAGCTCCAGGAGGAGGAAGAGGTGACATGCGTTATGATTTCCATTTCCTGATTGGAGAAACAAACACAGAAATTTTAGCTAATTTATCTAAGGCAACGTTTCCAGCCAAGGTGTCTGTCAGTTTATTCTTGGTATTTTACAATGGCCTAGATTTCTTTATTCTATTTCCCATTTTGTACAGGAATCTGGGGGTGAAAATGGCAGGGTTCTGGAGTAAAAGGAGACTGGCATGAGATGGACAGTCAACTGGAAAATAGCTGCCAAAAACTCACCTAATAACTAAGATCAATATAAATTATTGTGTGCTCACTTGAGTCAGACATTGTGCTGAACTCTTTATTTTCTTTTCTGCCAGCCCCTCTAATACTAAAGTATACATTGTTATAGTACCAGAATATAAGCTCCCTGTAGGCTAGGACCATCTGGTTTTATTTACCGCTTTAGAGACTCCTCTGTTCTAGGTGATTATCAACAGCTTTACCTCGAACCTATTGTACAAAATGGGGAGTGGAATAAAGACAAATGGGCCATTGTTAAATACCAGGAATAAAATTACAATGCCCCTGAATAGACTGACACTTTGGCTGGGGAATATATCCTTGTAAAAATTACCTTAGATAAATCCCTTGTACTTCACAGTGTCTGACACATTATAAATGCTCAATAAATATTTGTCAACAGTATGAACAAGTGAATGAATGCCTACTTTGTGCAGCTGCAATAGTAGTAAGACATTGTCCTTGCTAAGAAACAGTACATTGTTACAGGAGGTATAGAGGACTATGGGCCATAGGTACATGGGCAAGTCAACATTTAATTTAATATGTTCTAATTTCCATCCTAATTCTTTCTCATATGAGTAAATAGCAAGATTAGAATGAAATTCAAAAAAAAGTCAGAAATGTAATTATTAGAGAAAGGTGATTATGACTGAATGTTACACTGGAAAGAAGCAACTTACTCATTAAGTCTGCTTTCTGCTCAGCCAAGAAATATTCTTTTCCAAAGTAAGAACTAATCACTGATCCTTGCACAATTAGTTCTGCACCAGGAGAATGGGGACAGTTCAAGAGCCTCAGAAACATTTGCAAAACTTTCCAGTTTAATCTATTAACACCTCAGAAAGGAACATATCATAGCAGAGTTACAAAAGTCTGGAAGTGAGGTCTCCTTTTGGGATGTGGTAGCTAGCGGATTGCTGTTTGGCAATTTAAACACAGTGAGGAGGAATAATTTAAAATATCCTGTGTGCATTGAGGAATAAACATCTCAAGATGGAGTAACTATGTTGGAAACAAAGTCAAATGCCAAGCCAGTGTCTCTCTGTTTACTTTTCTCAACAAGATTATCTAATTCAAGGTAATATATAAAATATTTAATAATTCGTATGGCATAGGCACTGAGCTATCAAAACTGACTCTACCCATGTACAAAACAACAAAATAGTCCACACATTGACTGACTATCCAACCTGCTCCCAGCAACTCTTCTTAATTTGATTTCTGGGCTTATCTCTTATCTCCCTAGGTGACTTGGTGACATCGGACAGCCTCTCCTACTGTGGTGAGTGCAAACCTCTGCCCTGGGAGTCAGAGAATTTGGGTTTCGGTCTTAGCTCTACGCGTTTTATGACCTTAGGGAAATTGTTTCATTGTTCTGTGCTCAACTTGCTTCTTTGGGAAAACAAGGAGATTAGGAGATTGGGCTGACATTTTTCAATGTGAGTGCTATGGACATTGGCAGGCAAGGAACAGTTGTTTATGATGTAAGTCTGTCCAGCACATGGCAGGGTATTTAGTACCCATGTCCTCTGGACACTAAATGCCACTAGCACTCCCCAGTGATTGTGATAACCCGAAATGTTCCATGAATTTCTACTGTTGCAAAACAAATTGACTAGACAGTCTCTAAGGCCCTTTTCACTGTTAACCTTTTAATATTTCTTGCATATCCAGTAAACAGTTCTATATAAGTAATGTCTGTTTTGCACTGGGTGTTTTCTAATTCTCTACAATGACAAGCTTACTGTAATATTCCAGGTCAAACATTTCTGAACAGCTCTCTGACTTAGAAAGCCAGGAAAACTTGCCATCTAGATAGATGAAAAAAGAATCAGCAACCCCATTAGGCCAGCAGTCCAGCAAATTAGCAATTCTCAACTTTTCAGAAGTGCATCGGCAAGATCCAGTTATGAGAAACAGACACCTGATTTAGTATTTTAAGTGAATGAGATTCAATATGGGGAACTAGGTCCTTTCAAAATTTTAGAGAGTTTGGAGGAACAGGTTCTAGGCTGAGCCTCCAGAAATGACTCCTAGAAAACTATTCAATGATTCATCAAGGGAGCTGTTATCCCCACCTCTAACAGGAAGGTAGGGAATAAGAAGGCTGCTTCTGGAACTGTGGTCTTCATGAACATACTCTTGCAATGGTGATCTAATATTACAATACCAAGGCCTTCATTGCCACTGCCACCATACTGCCTCTTACCACCCATGATGCTCTTGAGTGGTCCCTGGAAAGGTAATATTGAAAATCCAATGTTATACCGGCAGAAAACAACCAAAACAGCAGAAATATGGTCCGTGCCTCACTTCAGCTTTATAAACCTAAAGCATATACTTGGGAGAACTAAATTTATATCCATTACAATAACTATACAGATAGTTTCTAACCATCAAGTTTCTACAGTGCAGGAAGGGACAAGAGAAGAAGCTTGATATTAGGTATCAAGATACCACACCTACCGTGGAAGGCATGAAGCTGTCATAATCTGAAGAAAGCCATGACTCTCCACAGAAAAAAAAAAAGTACATGCTAAATATATATAAGTTTGCATATGTTTTCATGGTATGTACAGATGTCCCAAAAGCCACAGTGAACCCTAAGGACACTTACACTAGAGCAGAGTTTCTGAACCTTGACATAATTGACATTGGAGGTTATCTAATTCTTTGCTGTGGGAAGCAATTCTATGCATTGCAAGATGTTTAGCCACATCCTTACCCTCTTCCCACTACATGCCAGAAGTACCCTCCCACTTCAGTTTTTACAGCCAAAAATGTTTTGCAAACATGGCCAAGTGTCCCATTGAGGGGCGGCGGGTAAAAAAAGACCAAAACAACCAAACAAAAAGTCCTTAAGTCTGGCCGGGCTCTGTGGCTCAAGCCTGTAATCCCAGTACTTTGGGAGGCCAAGGCGGGTGGATCACCCAAGGTCAGGAGTTCAAGACCAGCCTGGTCAATATGGTGAAACCCCATCTCTACTAAAAATACAAAAAAAAATTAGCCAGGCGTGGTGATGTGCAACTGTAATCCCAGCTACTCAGGAGGCTGTGGCAAGAGAATCACTTGAACCTGGGAGGTGGAGGTTGCAGTGAGCCGAAATTGCGCCACTGCACTCCAGCCTAGGTGACAGAGCAAGACTCGGGGCGGGGGGCGGGGGTGGGGGGTGGCCAGGGGAAGCAAGCCCTTTAGTTTTATTTATCTGTAAAGGATCAATATGAACATAAAACTTTGTGAAGAGAAAGACTTGATCGACAGAGTCATGCATACAAACATCATGAACTACGATAGGTAAAACTGTTGAAGAAATATGTACATAACAAGAGCATGGACAAGAGCAGCTTCAAAAATGGATTCAGAAAGGGGATTTAATATTGTAATTAAACCAACAGAACCTGGAATTTAGACTCAGAAGACCTGTGTGGTGGTTAATTTTATGTATCAACTTAGCTGAGCCGTAGGATACCCAGATATTTAGCCAAACAGAATTGTGGGTTTGTCTGTCAGGATGTTTCTGAATGAGATTACCTTATGAATCAGTAGACTCAATAAAGCAGATTGCTCTTTCTAATGTGAATGGGCCTCATCCAATCAACTAAAGACCAAAAGAGAACAAAACGGTTTTGTCAGAGGAAATTCCCACTGCCTGGCTATTGTGCTAGGACATTGGTTTTTTCTGGACTTTAGAACTTGGACTAAAACATGGGCTTTTCCTGGATCTCAAGCCTGCTGGAACTTACATCATCAGCTCTCCTGGTTCTTAGGCCTTTGGATTCAGACAAGAACTAAACATTGGCCCTCCTGGGTCTTCAGCTTGCCAATTGCAAATCCTGACCCTTGTCAGTCTCTACAACAATGTGACCCAATTTCTTTTTTGTTTGTTTTTTGTTTTTAAGTTCCGGGATACATGTGCAGAACATGTAGATTTTTTACAAAGGCATACGTGTACCTTTGTGGTTTGCTGCACCTATTAACCCATCCTCTAAGTTCTTTCCCCTTGTCCCTCCACCCTCTAACATGCCTGGGTGTGTGTTGTTCCCCTCCCTGTGTCCATATGTTCTCATTGTTCATATCCCACTTATGAGTGAGAACATTCAGTGTTTGATTTTCTGTTCCTGTGTTACTTTGCTGAGGACGATGGCTTCCAGCTTCATCCATGTCCCTGCAAAAAACATGATCTCATTCCTTTTTATGGCTGCATAGTATTTCACGGTGTATATGTACCACATTTTCTTTATCCAGTCTATCATTAATGGGCATTTGGATTGGTTCCATGTCTTTGCTATTGTAAATAGTGCTGCCATAGACATACATGTGCATGTGTCTTTATAAAGATTTATATTCCTTTGGGTATGTACCCAGTAATGGAATTGCTGGGTCAAATGGTATTTCTGGTTCTAGATCTTTGAGGAATCGCCATACTGTTTTTCACAATCGTTGAACTAGTTTACATTCCCACCAATGGGGTAAAAGCGTTCCTATTTCTCCACAGCCTTGCCAACATCTATTAGTTTCTTGACTTTTTAAAAATTGCCATTCTGACTGGCGTGACATGGTATCTTATTGTGGTTTTTCTCTGCATTTCTCTAATAATCCATTATATTGAGCTTTTTTTCACGTTTTTTGGCCGGGTTGTTTTTCTCTTGTAAATTTAAGTCCCTTGTAGACTCTGGATATTAGACCTTTGTCAGATGGGTAGATTGCAAAATTTTCTCATTCTGTAGGTTGCCTGTTCATTCTAATGATAGTATCTTTTGCTGTACAGAAGCTCTTTAGTTTAGTTAGATCCCATTTATCAACTTTTGCGTTTGTTGCAATTGCTTTTGGTGGTTTTGTCATGAAATCTTTGCCCATGCCTATGTCCTGAATTGTATTGTCTAGGTTTTCTTCTAGGGTTTTTATGGTTTGGGGTTTTACATTTAAGTCTTTAATCCATCTTGAGTTAATAATATTTGTATAAGGTATAAGGAAGGGGTCCAATTTCAGTTTTGTGCATATGGCTAGCCAGTTTTCCCAGCACCATTTATTAAATAGGAGATCCTTTCCCCATTGCTCATTGTTGTCAGGTTTGCTGAAGATCAGATGGTTGTAGATGTGTGGCGTTGTTTCTGAGGTCTCTGTCCTGTTCCATTGGTCTATATGTCTTTTTTGGTACCAGTATCATGCTGGGCATGCTGCTTTGCTTGCTGTAGCCTTGTAGCATAGTTTGAAGTCAGAGAGAGTGATGCCCCCAGCTTTGTTTTTTGTTTGTTTTGTCTTTTGCTTAAAATTGTCTTGGCTATACAGTGTCTTCTGTGATTCCATATGAAATTTAAAGTAGTTTTTGCTAATTCTGTGAAGAATGTCAGTGGTAGTTTGATGGGAGTAGCAGCGAATCTTTACACTATTTTGGGCAATATGGCCATTTTCACGATATTGATTCTTCCTATCCATGAGGATGCAATTTTTTTCCATTTGTTTGTGTTCTATCTTATTTCCTTGAGCAGTGGTTTGTAGTCCTTCTTGAAGAGGTCCTCCACTTCCCTTGATAACTGTATTCCTAGGTATTTTATTCTTTGTAGCAATTGTGAATGGGAGTTTATTCATGATTTGGCTCTCTGCTTGTCTGTTGTCCGTGTAAAGGAATGCTTGTGATTTTTGCACATTGATTCTGTATCCTGAAACTTTGCTGAAGTTGCTTATCAGCTTAAGAAGTTTTGGGGCTGAGATGTTGGGGTTTTCTAAATACAAAGTCATGTCATCTGCAAATAGAGATAATTTGACTTCCTCTCTTCCCATTTGAATACCTTTTTTTCTTTCTCTTGCCTAATTGTCCTGGCCAGAACCTCCAGGTTGAACCACTATGTTGAATAGGAGTGGTGAAAGAGGGCATCCTTGTCTTGTACTGGTTTTCAAAGGGAATGCTTCCAGCTTTTGCCCATTGTGGGTTTGTCATAAATAGCTCTTGTTATTTTGAGATATGTTCCATCAATACCTAGTTTACTGAGAGTTTTTAACATGAAAAGATTTTGAATTTTATCAAAGGCCTTTACGGCATCTATTGAGATAATCATGTGGTTTTTGTCTTCGGTTCTGTTTATATGATGTATTACGTTTACTGATTTGCTATGTTGAACCAGCCTTGCATCCAGGAATGAAGCTGACTTGATCATGGGAGATAAGTTTTTCGATGTGCTGCTGGATTTGGTTTGCCAGTATTTTATTGAGGATTTTCACATCAATGTCCATCAGGGATATTGGCCCCAAAATTTTTTTTTTTGTCTGTGCCCATTTTTGGTATCAGGATGATGATGGTTTCATAAAATGAGTTAGAAAGGAGTCCCTCATTTTCAATTGTTTTGAATAGTTTCAGGAGGAATGGTACTAGCTCCTCTTTGTATTTCTGGTAGAATTTGGCTGTGAATCTGTCTGGTCCTGGGCTTTTTTTGGTTGGTAGGCTATTAATTACTGCCTCAATTTCAGAACTTGTTGTTGGTCTCTTCAGGGATTCGACTTCTTCCTGATTTAGTCTTGGGAGGGTGTGTGCGTCCAGGAATTTATTCATTTCTTCTAGATTTTCTAGTTTATTTGCATAGAAGTATTTATAGTGTTCTCTGATGATAGTTTGTATTTCTGTGGGGTCAGTTGTGATATCCCCTTTATCATTTTTTATTGTTTCTATTTGATTCTTTTATTAGTCTAGCTGGTGGTCCGTTTCGTTAATTTTTTTCAATAAACTGGCTCTTGGATTCATTGATTTTTTTGGAGAGTTTTTTGTGTCTCTATCTCCTTCAATTCTGTTCTTATCTGAGTTATTTCTAATCTTCTGCCAGCTTTTGCATTAGTTTGCTCTTGCCTTTCTAGCTCTTTTAATTGTGATGTTAGGGTGTCAGTTTAAGATCTCTCTAGTTTCTGATGTGGGTATTTTAGTGCTGTAAATTTCCCTCTTAACACTGCTTTAGCTCTGTCCCAGAGATTCTGGTACATTGTCTCTTTGTTCTCATTGGTTTCAAATAACTTACTGATTTCTGCCTTAATTTCATTATTTACCATGGAATCATTCAGGAGCAAGTTGTTCAATTTCCATGTAATTGTGTGGTTTGAGTTAGTTTCTTAATCCTGAGTTCTAATTTGATTGCACTGTGGTCTGAGAGACTGTCATGATTTCAGTTTTTTGCATCTGCTGAGGAGTGTTTTAAATCCAATTATGTGGTCGATTTTAGAATAAGTGCCATGTGGCACTGAGAAGAATGTATATTTTGGTGATTTGGGGTAGAGAGTTCTGTAGCTGTCTACCAAGTCTACCTGATCCAAAGCTGAGTTCAAGTCCTGAATATCCTTGTTAATTTTTTGTCTCATTGATCTAATATTGACATTGGGGTGTTAAAGTCTCCCACTATTACTGTGTGGGAGTCTAAGTCTCTGTGTATGTCTCTAAGAACTTGTTTTATGAATCCGCGTGCTCCTATACTGGGTGCGTATACATTTAGGATAGTTAGTTCTTGTTGAATTGATCCCTTTACCATTACGTAAGCCCTTCTTTGTCTTTTTTGATCTTTGTTCATTTAAATTCCATTTTGTCAGAGACTAGGATTGCAACCCTGTTTTTTTTGTTTTGTTTTGTTTTTGTTTTTGTTTTTCGCTTTCTGCTGAGAGGTCCACTGTTCGTCTGATGGGCTTCCCATTGTAGGTGACTTGGCCTTTCTTTCTGACTGCCCTTAACATTTTTTCCTTCATTTCGACCTTGGAGAATCTGATGATTATGTGTCTTGTGGTTGATCCTCTCGTGAAGTATCTTAGCAGTGTTTTCTGTATTTCCCGAATTTGAATGTTGGCCTGTCTTGCTAGGTTGAGGAAGTTCTCCTGAAGTGCGTTTTCCAGCTTCTTTTCATTCTCCTCATCTCCTTCAGGTACTCCAGTCAATTACAGGTTCGGTCTTTTTATGAAGTCCCGTATTTCTTGGAGGCTTTGTTCATTTCTTTTATTCTTTTTCCTCTAATCTTGTCTGCATGCCTTAATTCAGCAAGGTAGTCTTCAAACTCTGATATCCTTTCTTCTGCTTGGTGGATTTGGCTATTGATACTTGTGTATACTTCACAAAGTTCTCGTGCTGTGTTTTTCAGCTCCATCAGGTCATTTATGTTCCTCTCCAAACTGGTTATTCTAGTTAGCAGCTCCTCTAACCTTTATCAAGGTCTTAGGTTCTTTGCATTGGGTTAGAACATGCTCCTTTAGCTCAGGAGAGTATTTTATTACCCACCTTCTGAAGCCTACTTCTGTCAATTCATTCATCTCATCCTCCATCCAGTTCTGTGTCCTTGCTGGAGAGGCTTTGCAATCATTTGGAGGGGAAGAGGCACTCTGGCCTTTTGGGTTTTCAGCGTTTTTTCATTGACTCGTTCTCATCTTGAGTTTGTCTCATTTCAATCATTGAAGCTGCTGACCCTTGGATGGAGTTTTGTGGGGACTTTTTTTATTGTTGATGCTATTGTTGTCACTTTGTTTTTCTTTCAATGCGTCAGGTCCCTCTTCTGTAAGGCTGCCATGGTTTGCAGGGGGTTCCCTCCTGTGCCTGGAGATGTCACTTCAGGAGGCTGGAGAACAAGAAAGATGGGTGCCTGCTTCTTCTTTTGGGATCTCTGAATTTGAGGGGCACCAAACTGATGCCAGTAGGATCGCTCCTGTATAGGGTGTCTCACAACCCCCGTTGGAGGGTCTCACCCAGTTGGGTGGCACAGAAAAGAGGACCCATTTAACAAAGCACTTTGATGACACCTTGGTGGAGGGGGTGTGCTTTGCTGGGGGGAAACCCACTCATCTGGGCTGCCTGGATTCCTCAGAACTACCAGGAAGAAAGGGTAAGTCTGCTGGTCCGCAGAGACTGCGGCCACCCCTCTCACTAGGGGCTCAGGCTCAGGAAGATCTGGGTTGGGTCCCTGAGTCTCTGGCTGAAGTTGTTGGAGTTCCTGCAGGGAAACCCCACCCAGTGAGAAAGGATGGATCAGGGTCAGGCCTGAAGAGATGTTCTGCCTGCAGTCTGCCACAGCCCGTGTGTTTGAATGGTGGGGGACACCTCTAGGGGCCAAGACGTCCAGCCTCCCTGGCTCCAGCAGGGGAAAAGCACAGCCTGGAGCTATGGAGATGGATGCCACCCTTCCCCCAGCCAGGGAGCTGTGTTAGGCAGTTAAGAGTCCCAGAGCTGGCTGCTGTCCCTCCCTCAAGGAGCTCAAAAGGCTTAGACAGCAGGCAGCCACAGCTGTGGTGCTGGTCACCCCTCCCCCCAGGAGCTCAGCAGGCTTAAGCAGGAAGCTGAGAGGCTGTTGAGAATCTGCTCAGCTCCAGGGTTGAAACCCTAGGCCCTGGTGATGTGGGTTCGTGAGTGGGATCTTCTGATTCATGGGTTGCACAGTTCCATGGAAAAAGCACCGTTTCCCAGGCTGGGTAGCACATTCACTCACCGCCTCCCTTGGCTGGGGAGTGGGGGCTTCCCTGCCCTGTGTGGCTCTCAGGTGGGCTGTCACACCACACTGCTCTTCCTTCCTCTCCATGGATCGTGCCAGCCACCTCGCCAATTTCTTGTACTAAATCTCTTTCTATACATATACTTTCTATTGGTCCTGTTTCTCTGGAGAACCCTAATACAGTTCGATTTAAGTGTTAGTTCTATTGCCCAATCTGTGAACTTGGACAAGTCAGTTTAACTCTCTGAGCCTCTGTTTTCTCACCTATAAAATGGAGATTATGGAAACACTTATGTCACAAGATTACTGTTTGATTGAGGCAAGGTGGACTGAGTAGCTCTCTTTACCTGTATTTTACAAGAACTATGTGTCTTTTAAGGCATTTCCTCCTTCCTACCACAGCCACCCTGAGTCACTGGGAACAAGTATCTACAGATGTACCTGTGCCCCTATCTCAAAAAATGGAACCAGGTGCACTCTACTCCACTTGGTGAAGGTTCTTCC
This sequence comes from Homo sapiens, assembly GCF_000001405.40. NCBI lineage: Eukaryota > Metazoa > Chordata > Mammalia > Primates > Hominidae > Homo > Homo sapiens. The sequence goes on along the minus strand of NW_003315928.1, from coordinate 134,510 downwards.
TTCTGATCCATTTGAAAATCATATGAAGGTTGTTTCCGTATCATTGGCATGATTCTTAAGGATGAATTTAGAAGAGTTAAACATTCAAACTTTAGCAAGTTTTTATCTTTTGGAATTTTTGTTTTGTTTTGTTTTTGAATTTGAAACATTAAAGAAAACAATTATTGGGGATCAAAAAAATCTTATTTCCCTGCCAAACCATATGCATCGAAATTGTTTCTATCAATGGAAACAGTCCAAGAATTTGAAAAACAAATCCCAGTGAAAACACGCAAAATTAAGTTGGCAATTTCTTCTTTTTGATTTTTTTAAAAAAGAAACCATAAACTAGAAGACATAGAGTTTTCTTTTTTAAACGAATTTCTCATCTTCCAGCAGGAGCCATTCTTTTCACAAATCAATGCTTACTGCTAAAAAGAGAAAGCTTAATGGATGAACATTGTGGTAAAAGTGAAGGCCCCTCCGAACACATTTTAAAAGGAAATTACAATTCAGTAAATTCTCCTTCCCCTCTTGTTCTGTTTGTATTTCCATTCTGTGCTGTTGCTAATTCGAAAAGCCAGATTTTCACTCCACTCCTCATTCTGTTCAACTTTACAACCTGGATAAGCCTTTCTGACACAAAAGACTTTATGTTGTGGGACAAGAGGTTCTGGATCCTGGATTTAAAGTCTAATTTGGAGCCTTCCTGTGTCAAATTCATTCACCTCTGCAAATACATTGTAATAAAATAGTGACGGTCTGATTAATCTACAACCGTTCAAATGTATCTGGAGAAGCAAGTGCTTTTCCCTTAGGCTCAGATTGGCATAAGGGCACAAATATTGCCCTAAAGCAGTAATAAAGATCCTTTCCTATTAAAATGAACAAGTCAACAAAAATATCCCTGTGTCTCAAAGAAAATATCCCTCTAGAAGATGTTTATCAAAAGTTATTCACAGAATTATACGGTCATCCCTCTGTATCTGCAGGGGATTTGTTCCAGGACACACTGCCCTCATAGCAAAATCTGTAGATGTTCAAGTCTCTGATTTAAATCGTACAGTATTTGCATATAACCTATGCACATCCTCCTGTATACTTTAAACCATCTCAAGATTACTTATAATACCTAATACAATGTAAATACTATGTAAATTGTTGTAATACTATATTTATTGTTATATATATTTATGTATATATATATGTAATATATATATTGTTTTATATTTTCAATCCATTGTTAGTTGAATCTGTGGATATGGAACCCAAAGATATGTAAGGTCATCTGTACTAACTACTATAATCAATTTCACTAATGTGAAATCATAAAATTTACAAAGATTGTTTAGAACAGTATGCTCAACCTGTGTTATCCATGGCATTATTACTTAATAAATGTGCAAATAATAATAGGTGCTGGTATTAATTACCTTTGAAAAATGCTAATCCCCTCTTAAAGTGTCATATATTACATAGTATATTAAACGAACTGAGAAATTCTTCGGTAAAGAAATTTAATCTTATTCTCCAAGATTCTTCTAGACTTACTTGACTACAGACCTCTTTTTTTCATAAAAATATGTCTTAACAGATGTGAGATTAGAAATCTTTGCAGAGCAGTTTGAAAAATGTTGGTTGAGGATCTCAACCTACTATATCACTCACCTCACCCTGGCACATATATGTGCGTGCACACACACACATACACATATCAGTATCATAATTGCTCCTTTTAGAGGCACTCACTTTTCTCTAATACAGCTCTCCAAAACTAGCTTCCTCTCACCATCAAAACATGTTTATCTTCTGTATACATTCCTAGGATCCTGCTTTCTGCTAACAGGCAACTTATGTGATCAGCTATTTGAAAATTTGAAGGTAAAAATGAGAGCTCTGGAATGAGAATACCTAGATTTAAATTAGGGTTTCATAATTTATGAACAGTATGATCTTGGGCAAGTTACTTGACCTCACTAAGCTTTAACTTTCTGCTCTATACATTAAGCATGATAATGGTGCTTATTTCATTAAGTCACTGTGATGTTTAAATGAGATGATTCCTACAGAAATGTGTCTGACACAAAGTGTTCAAAAACATTTTAAAGAAACAAATATATACATGAATTATAACAATTAATCTCATGTGGGGCATTTTTCCTTCTGCTTTATAAATGTTTCCTTTAGATAAGGTTGTTGTGTAAATCCTTCAAGGGAAGCCTGTGAGCCTTGATAACAAGACCACACCAGACAAACTATTTGGTCCCAACTGCCCAACTCCATCTCATGCCTCCCTCCCTCTGGCTGTCTGTGCCAGTCTCAATGAACCTCTTTCAGTTCTTGAAACAGGGCTATACTTTGTCTTTTGCACATGCTGTTCCCTCTGCCTGAAACACTCTTCCTCACTGCTGCCTTGCTTTGACGTAATCAGGCTTTTGGCTGAAATGATATTTCCTCTAAGAAGTTTTCTTGATACCACCTCCCCACCAGACTAGTATAGTTACCCCATGTGCTTCCCCTATAATAATATTCATCACACTTGATTGTAACTTTATCTGCCTCCTCAGCTTTAGGGACTGACTCTGTGTTTTTCTCTCTCTCTTCTCCTCTCCCCCCAGCCCCCGCCACAATTTATCACAGAACAGAACATACTGGTGGTTTTATGAATACCTAGCTGGTACAGGAATCCTTACTCAACCCTCCAATCCCATCCTCCATTTTGCACATACCACAAATGTATGTCTTCCACACATAAGTCTTACGCAACCCTAACAGGGGAAGCCCTTATGATGTCTGAGGAAAACTTTTTTCATGCGCCAGGTAAAAGGGAGCTTAGAATCTGATATATTATAAATTAACTTAAAGAAAATAAGGAAGCGTGACTTTATTACAAAGTAAATTCTGCCACAAAGGTAATAGGATTTCCATTTTGAGGATGCAGCTTAGAGAAGTAAAGCAACTTCCCATAATCGCACAACTAGTAAATGACAGAACTGGAATCTAAATCTTGGACTTTCTAACTCTTAAGCAAGCTCCCTTCAATTTTCACAACACCATCCTGTCTGCTTTAGATACCATGCCAATCAAAAATAGGATACCCAGAAAAATGTTCTGAATATAGACATCCCAAGACATATGGGGTGCAGCAGTGCCAGCAGACCAATGCCAAGCAGCATCCATAGATAAGAGAGATTAGCACTGCATGCAAGCAGAAGTCTCCTCCAGGCTGAGTTCTTAGCAGGCACAGGAATTCTGTGTTCCATAGTGCCCTTTCAGCATGACAACTTGGAAGGATGGGAAAAGCCCAGACTTTGAATCAATCTTCAATTTTAATCATTGCTCTGCTACTTTAACGTTGTGTGATTGTGGCCTGGTCACTTGCCCTTTCTGAACCTCAATATTTTAATCTATAAAGTAGTCATAATTCTACCTATTTGTCAAGGATAATGTGAGAATCCAGTAACAACCTGTGTAAAACTGCCTAACACAGCTCTGGAGCCCGTCGGATACTCCCTCTGTTCCCTTCTCTTTGACCAGTGGTTTCTGATAAGAGAAAGCTGTCTTCTTGAGCAAAAACTACCTTTCCCTATGGATAATCTCCCTGTTCACTGATGCCACCATAAGGACTAGCTCTGGGTGTTGGTATCTTGGCCCTGGGAAGAGGTGGGGAGGTTGACAGAGGAAGTCAGTGGATCCCTTTTCCAAGTTGGCCCTGGACCCATGGACCAGAGATAACAAGGAGTTCTGTGCAAAGAGAACACATTGGAAGCCCGTGTGCTCTGATGTGGGAGAAAGCTGGGTCATGCTATTTGAAGTGGCCTCCAGATTGTGAAACTCAACCCTGCTCATCCTCCCCACAAACATCCTGGTGGCTGTGTGGTAATGGACAGCTATCATTATAGCATTTATCCATCTCTGGCCTCAGACCTCCCAAGGCCATCTGAAAACCAAACTCCTAGCAAGGATCAAATGGAAAGGACAATAAGTTTGAGCCCAGAAGTTGGAAATGGGAGGCTTGGTAGAAACCCAAAAAAAAAGGAACAATCAGGAGCTACTCTCATTTAATGCTCTTTCTACTGAAGGAGTATCTTTGTCACTGCAGTTCTCCAGGGCAATCTAATGAAGTCTCTGTAAAAGAATCTGGTTCCACGCATAGGCTGCCTATTGATTTCATCAGTAGTTCTTTAAAGGGTTCAATTAAGGGTAAGAAGGAAAGCAAAGCAAAGTTGTGTCTAAAGAGTGGGAAAACCCAGATCCAAAAAATGTGAAGCTGGAATTTTTCAGCCCTTCTAAAATGTGATAAGGATCAGAGTGTAAGAGAGGCAATCAATTATGTCATTAGGACAGGTCACAAAAGGGAGAAAGAGAAGAAACACAGAAAATTATTGACAAGTGCATGAAGACAGTGCCTAACAAAGATGGTGCTTTCTCAGTCCTCCAGGAAAATAATACATCTTTTCTCCTCAATATTCATATCTTCCTCATTTTAAAAAAATTATAGCCAGCCAATTCCTATTGACTGTCATTATTCTTTTATTTAATCAAAATGTGTGCTTGGATATTAGTTTTAGACCCTGTGCTAGACAGGTGGAAAAAAAGGTGAACAAAAATAAACACAGTCTTGCTCTCAGAAGATTCAAAATTTAATTGGAAAGATAGACATTAATCAAATAATCACTTCCATTAATGTTTGATTACAAACTGATACATAAGTGTTCAGGAGGAAGAGAACTTGGTGATATGAGAGGGAAATTGACCTACACTGGATAGGGGCACCATTGAAAGCTTCCCTAAGTAAGTTATTCATGAGTTGATGTCAAAAATATGAATAATAAAGCAAAAGTGTACCAAAATAGGAATGAATAAGGAAGATACTGGGTGATGCACCAAATTACAGGAAGACCGGAGGGAGGAATAAACTCAGAAAATGTCAGGAATCAAGAGAAGCTGGCAGCAGAAACTCTCCTGGACTTGCTCCCAAGCACATAGCCACTCCTGCTCCATGATGTGGCTGCTGAGGTCAGTAATTAAGTCCCATTGTCCCTTTGGCTTTTTGTCACTAAGTCAAGATACAAAGCCTGGAGTGGAAACTCCCAGCTGTACAAACCTAGGTCAGGTGCCCAAGAGATAGGCTTCCCTCCTTTTGAGTCACATAATAGGATTTCCCAAAACCAGGAAGAGGAGTGGAACACTGGATGACAAAAAGAAAAAGAAAAAGAAAACCTCTACCATGGGAGAGAGGGGGAGAAAGGCATGGCAGAGAGTGAGAACTGCATGCACAGTAGCCCTTGCCTAAGTGTAGAGACACACTAAGAGAGATAGAGATAGAAGAGGCTGAAATCCAGGCAGAGTCATACTGATTCAGTTCTTGCAAAGCTCTTAAGATTTGGATCTTTACCTTGAGGCAATAAGAAATCATTGATGACTTTATCAGCAGAAGGAAAGCATATTCAACTGCATTTTGGAAAGATAATTCAGAATACAGGAGAGAGAACAGACAGTGAGGGCACAAGAGCAAATGGGGAGCAGTCCACATTTGTAGATACCGTGATGCGTAGATAGTAGACACCGTGATGTGTATCCCAGGTCCCCACTTCAGGACTGAGGCACATCTCCCCAGCTACAGAACTGTTGGTTGCTGACAACTCACAGTTAAATCCCTTTTTGAGACTAGCCCTTGGCGTAAGGAAGCTGCCACAGGGAGGCTATGTCCCTCCCTGGAGACAGCTGGCATCAGATGACTAATCAGCATTGCTACAAAGGCTTTATTTGAGGTGGCTCTAAAGGGCTATCTGAGCTCCAGAGCTCCCTGTGGGATCAGCTGAGGTCTCATGGCAACTGCATCACAGTTTCAGTTCTCCTCCTGCCCGATCCTGCTACCCTCACTCCTCATCATTAGTGACTCCTGAAGCAGTCCTCAGTAATCTTTCTGCATACAAATCTCCATCTCAATGGTTTTTTTCTCAGGAATCTCGACCCGAGACAGCATGACAATCAGAAGACTATAGGAGCCTAGCAATGAAAACAGGGTAGCCTCGACTATGGTAGAAGTAGATACTAGGGAGAGAAGTGTGCTGATTAAACTTTTCAAGGCCCAAGGACCTGAGAATCATATGAGAGAAGAGACCATTTGCAGAGTTAAGGAAAGAAACTCACCCCTTCCTAGATTAGATGTTTCTAACTTCCCTAGTGGTTGAATGGAAGAGAACAGTCATTCCTTCACACACTGGCCCAAACACAATTTCAAACCTTATCCCCATTCTAATAACCACTAATGCTCCTGCTGCAGTCGGCATCTGCCATAGTGTATGATGTGTTGGGAGCTGGCTGCCTCCAGAGCTGAGACTCTTAAGACTGGAGCAGCTGTTACAGGTCTGGCTCTCCTGCCTGATTCTTTGTAGCCATATCACTAAATTTCCAACAGTCAGTTCATTTTATGGCCTTTTCCCCCTTCTCTTTGTAATGCTGCTACCGCCCAGTGCAGAGGCTGCCAAGAGGGTTGATTTCAAACACAGGGCTTTTAAAAGGTGACAGATGAGATGATGTCATGGCATGGAAGGTAAAAAGCCCCCTTCTTCCTCCAGAGTGGTTTAACCAATAAAATTAATTTGCCTGTTTACAATCTAAAATAAAGACAAGATGGTTTAATTTTTCAATAAAAAGTTTTGGCAGGAAGGAAGGGAGTTATTAGCATGCTGATCAGGTTGAGGGGGAAACCAAATGTAGACAGATCATCCTGAAGCCACACTGAAGGGCCTCACCTCTCTCCTTCTGTCTGCTGGTTGCAGAGGGAGCTGCCATGATGCAGCTCTAGCTAAGGGACAAATGGGCAGGCAGCGTAGGTGCTGGCAGGAGCTGGTAGAAGCTGTGGGCATTGCACAGTTGGCCCGCTTGAGCCATTAAGAGAAGTGACCAGTTCAGAACCATTCTCAAAAGACATTCCAGGGCTTAGCAATGACAATCCCCCGTCAGCCTCCCTCTCTGTAGCTGAGGCCCAGCTCTCTTTGCCATTTGTGGCAATCATCAAACAGATGAACTTTGCAAAGCCTCATGAATTCCTGGCAGCTCTTCTGCAGTGCTTCCGTCTCTTGCTCTTTCTCCCCAACTGGCTACAGATGGATCGGCATTTCCTCCATAGCTAGGATGGCAGAACCAAGTTCCAAAGGGGCAATTTCAATATCTCACCTTCTGCTTCCACCTTCCAGCCTCCCCATGACCCACCATTCAAAAGAATGACTATAGCTCTCCACTGGAGGATGACGTTGACATTGAATCTGTATTCAAAGTTGGAGAAACTTGAAAAACTCCAAAGATTTCTAAGGACTTTTGAAAGACTCTGCTTACTCCTAATAGCCCATGTTTTACCAGGGTATACTTAATACTTGCAAGATTATAAGATTCTGTTTTACAAAGTGCTCTTGCATACATTATCACATGTGATACACATATGATTATCCCATTTTCTAGGTAAGCAAACTGATGATCATGGGGAAGGTGAGGAGGATAACAATATTTTTTGAGACTAATTTATGCATTAGAAGCTATGTGGAAGCTCTACCCCATAACTCAGCTAAATCTTCACAATCAGCCCTGAAAGGTAGGAAATTATATCCCATTTACAAATGAGGAGATGGAGACAGAATTTACATGATCACCCAAAATCACGTAACTGGCCTTGGATTTGTAGTCAAGCCAGGTTACCTTCAAATTCTTTCCCTGCACTGGCTGCAGGTTTACTTCATTTTCCTGGCAGATGGATAAATCTGTCTGGTCCATTCATTCCTCAGCTGCCCTTCCAAGCTAGAATGTCTAGCAAACTCTCTCCCCAGTGAACATATTTTTGTGCACCTGTTAAAAAACGCAAAATGCCTTCAATACACCTGGAAAGACAAGTTACACCACAGTTCTCATCTTCATTCAGCATCCAAACAGGGAATAAATCCAATACTGCCATCACCATCACTGCCATCTCCATTACCCTAACATTATCATTATCATCATTATCTTCATCAAATCCTGTCTTTGGAGCTCCCTCAAGCACTTCGCCTTCCTTAGGGGGCATTTTTTAGAGGACGAAACAGACACAGCCCTTGCTTTTGACTTGCATTTTGCAGTAATGTTCAGTGAGAATTTAGTCTCTAGAGCTAGTGGAATTAATGAACACTTAGGATCAGTGACTAAAGAAAATTCAATGGTTGAACCAAAGTAATAGGAATCTGTTTACAAGACAACCCTCATAAATAGCATAAAATGAATATGCTTCTCAAAAAAGGAATTAATTAACATTTAACTACTGTGCATTTTCTGTCTATTAACTAAACATCTCTACAAATGGCTTGTGGAATGGACAATTTATTCCCACCCTTTGGGTTTTCAACACTAATGGTGGAAGTGAGAAGAGGAAAATGCTTGACGTATCAGCAAAATAACCATTCCATCAAGGTTCAGAAGCGTTCTGTAAGGATGGGATAACAACAGAGAGCTGGATGTATCCCTTTCTCCACAGTCCCCCTCACCACCCCTACATTCACTTTGCAGAACAGAAGGACTTCCAGGAAATGTGGACAAGTGCCTGGCATTCCCAACAAGGCCAGCTGCTTCCCAACACCTAGTAGAGTTCCTGCTGCACCACACACATATAATACGTATGTGTTAAGTTAATTAATGACCAAACTCACCTCTTCTAATTGCTCTGATAAAAAGTCTCTTTGCCATTATTTCTCATTGTATATTGCAACTTTCACTTTTTTCCACCCAAAATAAAAGCAACTCTGAAATATGTTATAGAGTCAATAGTAATCACTTTCCCATGTTCAATCTTTTCATATCATTAGCATTCTGAAAATAGAGGCAATTACTTCGTATTTGTTCCACCTCTTCAAACCCCCCAAAGCACTTTTTTCTTTCTCTCCAATGCTGCTTGTTATCAGTTTTCTTTTCCCCAACTCACTGTGAGTTGGAAGACAGGGATCCTACCTGGTAGCATCCTCAGCTACTTGCTCAGGAGCATGTTCGTAGTGAGTGCTTAATGAAAGCTTTTTATTTCTGAATGGAATCAAACGTTGTTTGTTCTCTGGAAACCTAGACTATTTCTCTATTTGGGGCATTTGAGATGGTCCTTCCCAGAAACAGAGAGATGGCCTCAGTGACTGTGGACTGATCCTTCCCTCCAGAGGTTCCCAAGATTCTGCTCACCCCATCATTAGTGAGTCAAGGGTGAGGGAAAGCCAACTCTGCAATCCATTCGTCTGGGTTTTAAGAATATAAGTGATAACCCTGCAAGCTAAATTAATGGAGCCTATGCCTCAGTGATGACTTATATGCATCATGGGGCCGAAATACAGAAACAAGGCCATTCACGAGACTCTGTGGTTTAGTGGGGAAGAGTGAGGTCTGGAAAGCGGGGCGGGGGAGCTGATTAGCACCATTTTCATTAACTTACAGAAAACCATTAGCGTTCAACTTATGGACAAAAAGTTCCCTCTTGGCTCAACTAATTCATTTTCCAGGTCAGGCTTTCCTGTGTGTGTCTGAGTGCACGTGCGCTGGGATGTGTGGGAGTCATTCTTTTTCTGCTGCATGGTTGATGTGTGCATGTGTCTGGGTCTCATTACATGACTGAAAATGTAAGCAGCTGGAAATTCATGGGACAGAAAGGCAGAGCTCATTACCAGGAACATTAGAGACATGGCCTATGGGGAGGTAAATTGTTTAATGTTAAATTCATAGAATTATTTGGCCTTTGACCCTGATGACCACCCTCTTAGACATAATTGTCTCTACTTTGGGCTTTTTACCACCCCAATGCTTGTTGGTTCTCTTCTTGTCATTCAGCTCCCTTCTTATTCAAATCATAGATCTCAAACCATCTGAAGAATATGAATGTATCCCAAATTTCTATAACACTCTTCTTGTCTAACTACCTAATTTTATTGGATGAGCTCATTCACCCCCATTATATTCCAAGATTAGATGCAATTCCCAAATTATATCTCCAGTCCCGACCTTCTTCCAGGCTCCAGACTGATTATGTAAGCTCTCAAGTTCATTTCTTCTCTTGTTTCTATGTCAGCTGATGGCACCAGCATACACTCAAGTTTCTCAAGATGGGGCCTCAGATCTGTCTTCCATTCTTCCTGCCTCCATCTTCACTCTCAATCTGTGGTCAAGTGAAACTGATTTTCTACTATGAATTATGTTTTTGTCTAAAAAATGCTCATCATATTCCAGGTCCTGCCTTAAGAGCTTTGCAACTCTGTGAGGAAGGTACTACAACTGTCTCCATTTTAGAGAGAAAGAAATGGAGATATTGAGGGGTTAAGTAACTTGCTAAAGGTCACATAGTTTAAAAATGACAGAGCTGGGAAAACCCAGGTGGCTGGGTTCAGCATCCCCATTCTTGAATCCTGTTCTCTGCTGCCCGTATATATCCAATTCCACTGCCTGGTCAAGTCATTGTCTTTCAATTAATAGCCATCTCTTTATTTTCCTCCTGCACAGCAGATTTTTCTTTCTAAGTCACCAACCTCTTTTCTATTATCTCTAATCTAATCTGACTTAAGTAGATCTGATCTCTACTAATTAAAATCCAAACCTTCCAGAACCTCTGAGGCCCTTCAGAATACATCCCTGACTCAACCCCAACCTCATGTCCTGCTACTCTTTATCCAAACACCCTGCCTTTGCCCCCTCCCTCCTCTGGCCTTCCCTTAATCTAATAATAATTACGCTAGCATCAAAGTATTGAGTGTCTAGGATGTATCAGTCTTTGTAATAGGCACTTTATATATTCTCACTCATTATCTTAGCAACCCTACAATGTAAGTATTTGTCATATCCTCTTTTTGCCAATGAGGAAACTTGCACTCTGAAAAATTAAAACTAATCTAAGGTCTCTTTGGAAGCGAGTGGTTGAGTCAGGATTTGAATATAAGTTCTGAATACTTTTACACTGTTGGTGGGAGAGTAAATTAGTTCAACCATTGTGGAAGACAGTATGGAGATTCCTCAAGGATCTAGAACTAGAAATACCACTTGACCCAGCAATCTTATTACTGGGTATATACGCAAAGGAATATAAATCATTCTACTAAAAAGGCACATGCACATGTTTGTTTATTGCAGCACTATCTACAATAGCAAAAACACAGAACCAACCCAAATGCCCATCAATGATAGACTGGAAAAGGAAAATGTGGCACATATACAACGTGCAATACTATGCAGCCATAAAAAGGAATAAGATCATGTCCTTTGCAGGGACATGGATGAAGCTGGAAGTCATTATCCTCAGCAAACTAACACAGGAACAAAAAAACCAAACACTGCATGTCCTCACTCATAAGTGGGAGTTGAAGATTGAGAACACATGGATACAGAGAGGGGAACAACACACACCAGGGCCTGTTGGGGGTGGGGGTGAGGTAAAGGAACTTAGAGGATGAGTCAATAGGTGCAGCAAGCCACCATGGCACAGGTATACCTGTGTAACAAACCTGCATGTTCTGCACATGTTTCCCATTTTTTAAAGAATAAAGAAAAAATAGGTTCCAAATTCACATGCTTTTTCCTATTCAATCAATAAATATATGTAAAAGTATACCAATAAATCTTAGAGTTATTTTCTGGGTTGCAAACGTGCCGTTTGACAATATTGCTGTGCGTGTACCTGGGAAATGCTCCTCAGCATTCCTTAGGACATTTACAAAAGGTGGTGGTAGGAGTGAGGGGTGGAGAGAGGATTACTGAGTTGCAGCTGACTTGATCAGGGAGAGCCAGTGCACTTGGCCACCTGGCTGCACTCAACTCAAACAATCAGGAACTCCAATCCCAAAGAAGCATTAGGTAATCATCATCAGAAAACAAACAAACAAGTGAGTAGCCAATCATATAGCCTGAGCCTTGTAGCTTAAATGAAGGGATGGAAGGTTCATCAGACTCAAAACTCAGCAGCCAGAAACAAGTAAAAATGGTTTTGTTAGAAGTTCCCCTGAAATTCTCTTTTGGCTCCTGCTGTGCAAAGGAAGGAGAACACCTGGCTCCCACAAATTGTGCAAACTATCCCCACATCATAAAGTGAAGGGAAGTAAGACAGCAAGCCTCATAAAGTGTATGTTGGGCCGCTGAGCCTCCTGCTGCCACCCTGATCAATCAGCCAAGTTATCCACATCACCAACACTAGAGGGCACTCTGCCTTCTAGCAGACAAATGCGTGTGCCTGGGCCCTGAGGTTGGGGATTATGTTGTCCACACACAAGATCTCTACTCAGTCCCAATGCAGATCACCCCGATTTATATTTTCTAGTGGGGTACAGGGTGTTATAGCAGACGGGACTTCTTGCTAAGTACAAGAAATAAATGTTTTTCTCCCCAACTGTCATGTCAACTTTTTGCCTGAATCTCAATTCCCTATAAGGGGATGAACAGAAACAACTGCATGTGGTGAAAACTCACCTCAGGCCTCCATATTTTGATCCTGAAATGGAGAGTCCTATTTTTCCCAGTCTTGACGTCTATCCTCAGAGAAAACCTCCCTGGCCACTTATTGCCCTGGCTATAGTCCTCTAATCAGGACTGCTAATTAGAAAAAGTGACTAGAGGTTAAAAAAAAAAAAAGTTTCATTTCATTGAGGCTGTTATAACACAATATCATAAACTGAGTGTCTTATAAACAAAGAAATGTAATCCTCACAGATCTGGAAGCCGGGAAATCCAATATTAAGGAAGAGTCATGTATGATGAGGACCTGCTCTCTGACTCAAAGAAGGTGACTTATTGCTGCATCCTCACATGGTAGAAGAGGAAAGTGGTCTCTCTGAGTTTTGTTTTATGAGGACTCCAGTGACCTCTCAAAGGTCTCACCTCCAGATACCATCACTTTGGGGAGTTAAGATTTCAACATTTGAATTTGGAAGGAACATAAACATTCAAACAATAGCAGAAGAGAATGAATGAACTTAACAGGATGCTAGCTATATGTTACGCAGGTTACTTTGGTCGGGGTGATGGTTTTGAACATATATCTTCTTAATCTTTACAGTAGGCCAATGAGGTCAATGGCACAATCCCATTTTACAGATGATAAAACTGAGGTTCAGGGAGATTAAAGAACATGTCTGGGTACAGCATAGATATGAATAACAATGAGAATTCAAATAGAAAAATAATTCCAAAGGCCATGCTTTAGGCTAGAGGTTAGCAAACTATGGCCAATGGGTCAAATGCAGCTTACCACCTGATTTTGTACTAATGTTTTGCTACAACACTGCCATGCCAATTTGTTTATGTAATTGTCTATGCCTGTTTTTATACCACAACAGTAGAGTAGCATAGTTGTGACAGAGACTCTACGGCCCCCAAAGCCTAAAATATTTACCCTGTGGCCTTTTACAGAAGGTTTGCCAAACTCTGCTTTAGGCATATGTGATTTGAGGCACAAAGAAAAGCCCTAACTTTAAATTTTTTCATAATAGTGCCTAAAATTTTACTTCTACTTCTTTGAGATCAGTATCACCCTAGGACACTATCAAATTTGAGGCATTGAAGCAGAATTATACATCTGCATCATAATTTCTGAATACCTTAAATAGTAATAGGGTTTAGAGCTTGGAAGGAATTGAGGGTTCTGGGAGATTAATTTCAAAACTTCTCATCTGTACAACTGGCAAAGAAGAGGTTCTAAATTTAAAGGACTGTATCACTAAGTACTGTGACATGTTTGGGCTCAAGCAACTTTGCTGTAGGACTGAACTTAACTGAGCGAAACACAGTGGGGCACTCCTGCCCATTTCATAAGAGTGTCATGAATCCTGGGTTTTCCAGCAGCACTGAGAATTCAGAGGAGCTCTGGGTTCCTGGATCAATGCTATTCCAGGGTCTCCAGATCCACCAGCACTGAAAACGTGGTGGAGAACTAGTAGATTGCTTGCTCCACTCACATCTAAAGGGAGTTTCTCAGAGAAGTTGGAACAGACTCATAGCTAGAAACAGCATCTCTGTGGAATTTCCTGGAACTGAGGCTGAGCACTTCCTGCACAGCGAGTGAAGCAGCAAGAAGACAAGAGGATAATCTAAGAGTACGCTTTAGGAATTATCGGAAATACTTTGAATGGGGAAACTATGAAAACTTACACTTCTAGCTCTTTAAGATTTAGCAACTGAGGCTCAGTGCCATTGAAACTAGGTTTTTTAATTTTAATCAAACCATATTTGTACTCACAAGCTGGCAAAGCTAAAAAGCTTTAGTTTCTGTATCAGTCAACTGGAACAATGAGTTGACACCACCACCACCCCCTCCAGGAGTTAGAAAGTAAATTATTTTCAAGGCACTTAGCATTTTTCCCTATGAGGTGGCTCTGACAGCTAGGTTAAGCCTCTTTTCACTCACTATGCATCTGTAATAATAGGGACCTACAATTCTCCGTTACCCTACCATAGAAACAGCTCCAACATGTGTAAGCCAAGCTGTCCTCCATCCTGCATCTTGTCTCTTTCTTATAGTAGTGCAACAGTTACAGCTTTTGTAGCTAATTAGATTTTAATTTTAATCCCAGCCATTATCTTTAATGGTTATGTCATGTCAGCTTGAACAATTTATTTAGCTCCTCCAAATGGCTATTTCTTAATCTAAAAGATGGGCAATAAAATATCTACGTCACAATGAGATGGGGTATGTAAATTGTGTTGTATGTTGTCTTCTGGTTGCTCAATAATATGTCTTCTGCTCAAAATACCAGAATGAATCATTTTTCTGATGGTGAAGGAGACATGCATCATCCGCCTCTTTCTTCAGGCATATCTGCCTTCTGACTACCTCTAACCCATTTCAGTTCGCAGGCCTCGGTCAGTGACTGGGAGGGTTCTGTGTCATCTCCCTACTGTTTCTATCTCCTTACCTGTCTGTCTCTTTCACTTCCCGGGTTTCTTCTTCTTTTTTTTTTTTTTTTAGAATTTTAGGAGGGAGGATTTGCTCATAAACCAGCAAGTGCACTGTCTACAAAATGACATCATGATAGATTGCATCAGTCTTAGATTTAGAAGAGGCAAAAAATGAAATAAAATCATCAATGTCAGGCATCAACAGTAGCCCATAGGTGATACCAAGACTCACGATAGTCAGAAGACATGGCCCCTGTGTTCTCCCCTTTCACATGTGGTTAGTTCCTTGGTTATGCTAATGGTGGTATAATGATGAGGATGGTGTGGCAACCATTTGTGAAGTTTCTGTTATATATCACATATTGTATTTGCCCTTTACAGAGGGAGTCTTAATCCTCTATAACTCTACATAATGGCTATGATGCTCATTTCATAAGAGGGCACTGGGGTTGACTTGCCCGACAGCTCATAAGTAGCTGAGCCAGGATCCAAATTCAGTTCTGACTCTAAAATCCATGCTCTCTCCTCTCTGTAATACTGCCTCTTAGAGGTAGGCTTACCACATCTTTCTTCTGCTTCATTTGCCCTCCTTTCCTCCTTTATTTCTTCACTCTTATTTCTTTCCTCAAAAAACTAAAATGTTTTAAAACCTCATTTTTTCCGTTTCCCTTTCTTCCTAAGAAACACATTCGAGAAATCATCCTTAACAATATCAAATCATTTTTATTGGCGCTCTGCAAAAATGATAGTGGTGTCACACCAGGCACTCTGAAAGGCTGGTGTATTACAGAGGAAAACTGCTCAAACTGCAGCTTCATGCTGTGGTGCTGTTCACAACTACTTCTTCATCTGCTACCCTGGGGCTATGAATGACAACCTGTCAACGTTCTTAGAAAGTTAAAGCTAGGAGGGAAAAAGAGGTCTAGATTCACATTCACTTATTTAACCAATGTATATTAAACTTGAACTATCCTTGAGACTCTGTACTAGGCACCGGGCATACAATGGTAATGAAGCCTTGATATCTGCCCTCATGGCACATATAATCTACTGTGAAAATACAAACAAGTGGCTGGGCGTGGTGGCTCATGCCTGTAGTCTCAGGACTTTGGGAGGCCAAGGTGGGCGGATCACAAGGCCAAGAGATCAAGACCATCCTGGCCAACATGGTGAAATTCCGTCTCTACTAAAAATATAAAAATTAGCTGGGCATGGTGACACGTACCTGTAGTCCCAGCTACTTGGGAGGCTGAGACAGGAGATTTGCTTGAACCCTGGAGGCGAACATTGCAGTGAGCCGAGATCATGTGCCACTGCACTCCAGCCTGGCAATAGAGCAAGGCTCCATCTCAAAAAAAAAAAAAAGAAAAAAAAAGAAAAGAAAATGCAAACCAGTTAGTTAACTGGTAATTAATTAAAATATAGTGGTTTGAGGGTCAAGATAGATTCATGGAGAGTGCTATGAGAGAAAAGGAAACATCTCAGACATAGAACTTGGGTCAATGTCACAATCTCTTAGGATGACATTTAAACTGAGATATGAAGGATAAGTTCACATTAGTCAGGTATACTGGATAGCTTCCTTCCAATTGCCTCATGTTCTTGTCATTTGCTGAATAACAAACTAAATCTAGAAATTGAGAGATGGAATAGGGCTCTCCACTCATGAAAATAAGCTGATAAACCAGCTTACCAAGCTGAGTTCATCATAGCCTGATGCTATGGATTGTAAGAATCTGGGGGTTCAAGGAGGCTGGAGAACACACACAGTCTCCACATACGAGGAACTGAGTTAAACTGTCTTCCAGCTTAGTCATAGAATTTCCAGTATCTCCAATACCATCATGGGCTGAAAGTCCCAGGCCACCATTATAAATCTTGGTTTTAGTCTGGTGCATAAGAAACAGAATGGACGACAACATAAACATGATACATGGGGAAGAGTGATGACATAGAGAAATAACAAATCAAAGCCCACATAATGTTCAATTTAAATGAATCCAAAATACAGAATTCAAAAGGAATATGAAGTTAGATAATATTAAAGGGAGAAGTCTCTCTGTCCCCCAGAAATGAACTACATAATCATGAATTTACTCTGGAAATTTATATGTTAAAGACATTTGACAAAGAATTATAATAAATATGCTTAAGATGCTCAAAGAGATAAATGAAGAAATAAAAACTTTTAACATTTACAAATTTAAGAAGTACAAGTGGATATAAAAGAAAATCAATCAGAAATCTTAGAAATAATGCATGTACTCAATGATACTTAAAAAGTCAACAAATGCAATAAATTACAGATTGACATGGTCAAAGAATTCATGAAATAGAAAATAGCACTGAGAAATTCATCCAGAGACAGTACAAAGATATAAGGAAATAAAGTGTAAAAGAGTAATTAAAAGATAGGAAGGAGAGTTTGGGAGACTCTAACATGTATCCACCAGAGTCCTAGCAGGAAAGAAAGAACTATTTTTACACACACGCACACACACACACACACACACACAGTTTTATACATATACACACATACATATATATATATATATATAAATGAGAGAATTTTCCAAAATTGAAGAATCCTAAGTTCTCAGATTTAAAGTACACTTTAAGTGACAAGAAGAATAAAATAAATCTATATCTGAGCCCATTATAGTAAAATACAGATCATCAAGAGTAAAAAGAAAACCTTAGAAGTTATTGGAGAGGTTTTAGTTGACCCTAGCATAAAAGCAGCTTCCTGAATCCTAAACTCTATACATTTGACCAAAATGTCTTGAGCTCAACAAGAAGCTCAAACAAAACCAACATAAACCACCTCTTCAAAATTACTAGAAGATAGATAGCACCACACACCTGTAAGTAGGGGAAGAAAACCACCAAATTCCAATGAAGCTCTCATGGCCACTGAAACCTTGTAGGTTTAGAGGGTGACGAGTTGCCTTTGGGATCTCCAAGAGAGGGGTGTATCAGACTTAACATAAAACCCAGGTAAAAGTAACTACCAGAAAGAGAACATGCGAAGTCTAGGACTTGGTGGTTTATACTACTGGAAACAGAGAAGAAGCATGTAAGTGAGTGAAATGAGAAGTTCTACTGATATCTCTAAAAAGCATTTTGGGCGAAGAAGATAGAAAAAGACAGCTATCTGCTCAAAGATGTGGCATTAAAGCAACATAAGAAAAATGGGAAGAAAAGTTAAGAGTCCTGCAGAAAAAAAGGGAAATACAAGTTACATGAACTCCTACTCTAATATCTTCACCAACAAAATGATTATTCATTAAAGAAACTGCCTTAACTATTCTAGCACAAGGAAGTCGTCTTCAGTAATGAGCCCTGTCACTGAATTGCCTCGGAATATAAGAAAAACAAGAACTCAGACAAAGTCTATATAGAGCAACTGTAAAAAAAAAAAAAAAAAAAAAAAAAAAAAAAAAAATTCTAATGCATACGTTTCAGTTGATGATAAACTCCCTCAAGAAAAGCAATGATGAGATAAAACTGGAATCCAATATTGAAAATGTAATTTCCTCAATCATTTGCAGATATTAAAATATCTAAAGTCAGAAATTTAAAAATGAAGAATAAAAGCAAAACTGGAAAAATACAATAAATAGTGATTGAACTTCAGAAAGAAATTAAAGAAAAAATCTCAAAAATGAAAAAAAATTACAAAGTGTCTAAGAAAAATAAAATCAAGAGTCATTGAATAAAGATGAAAGAACAAAGAATGAACATGAGAAAATGGAGTAAAAAGAGAGAGAAAATGGTTGAAAAGGAAAGCAAAGAAAATTCAACAAATGTATAATTGAAGTCACTGAAAGGACATTCTTCTCTCTATATATAAATGTGTATGTATATTATATACATATATAATACATATATATATAGTGTGTGTGTGTGTGTGTGTGTGTGTGTGTGTGTGTAATATCAGAAACTTTTCCAGAAATAAGAGAAAAAGAAAATCTACATACAAAAAGGGTTCACCTTGTATCTGGAAAAACTGACCTGGAATGATCAACTCTGAGACGGAGTCTAATAAAACTGAAGACTTAACTAATTATGATAAAGGTAACAAATTGCACAGGTATCAGATTTCTCAAGCAGAAACCTACAAAGGAAAACAAGAGTTAATAGTAATTTCAACAAACTCAAGGAGAGAAAGCAGGAGCCAAGGATTGCATATGAAACTAAGCTCTCCTGCAAGCAGCAAACCTACAGAAAGACAACTATAAATGTGCAAGAATTCAGGAGATGCTCTTCTTAGAAATGCTCTTCTTAGAAGCATTTCCTAAAGAATCTACTAGAACACAAGCTCCATGCAATCAAGACATGACTAGGAAAATTTAGACAAGGGACTAATAATGAGAGGTTAATACATTTAATCAAAGATTCAAGACTAAAATAAGGGTGGGGCATGGATGAGAGAATAGTATGTAAACATTCTATGTTTTGATAAAGTGTAAAAATGCAACTGACTATGAGAAAGAGAAAATTAAAATGGAATAATTGATCATTTAATAGGAAGTAGGAGTCAAATGGTATCATTTAAAACCAACATACAAGATAGTGAAAAGTTAACTAGGAAAAAAAAGGGCACCATAAAATGTATAGACACAAAACTAATCATTACATTAAAAATACAAACTTTTCTAAATACTAAAAGACATTTACTAAACGAACAGAGTGCTATACAAAGACTCTGTTGCATAAAGAAATATGACAGTGTTGAGACCAAACATATTAGTCACATCAACAAATGTAACTAGGCTTAATTTGACTTTCCTTTTCTTTTTTTCAGACCAGGTCTCATACTACCTCCCAGGCTGGAGTGCAGTGGCACCATCACTACTCACTGCAGCCTTGACCTCCCAGGCTCAAGCAATCCTCCCACCTCAGCCTCCTAAGTAGCTGGGATTACACATCATCATGCCTGGCTAATTTTATTTTTGTTTTTGTAGACACAGGATTTCACTATGTTGCCCAGGCTGGTCTCAAATTCCTGGGCTCAAGCTATCCTCTCGCCTCAGCCTACCAAAGTGCTGGGATTACAAGTGTGAGCCACTGCACCTGGCCTCAGTTTACCAATAAAAGAAAATGATTTCAAATTGACTCAAAAGTAAAGCCCAACTCTGTGCCGTACAAGAGAACATCTAAAATAATGTAACTCAAAGAGGTTTAAAATAAATCAATAGAAAAAGAAATTCAAAGGTAACAAATAAAAAAGAGAGCAGAGTGGCAATCCTAATATCAAAGTAGAATTCAATAAAAAAAGCATAAATGAGACAAAGCATATTTTATAACTAAAAGCCAATATTTACAATTTTATATATATAATCACAGACATATATATATATGTACGTATATCTCACAACAACTACCCATATAAAGCAAAACTACAGGAGATGCAAAAGAGGTAGAAAAAAATGCAAAATCATCAGAGACTTTAACATGTTCTCAGTACATGTTTGAGTTTACAATATTTAGGTAGTTTTAGCAGGCTGAAAGAATGCAATCAATAGTGTAGATCTTAATAATACATATATAACAACTCACCCTGATAATAAAGAATAAAACTTCTCAAGAACAGGAAGCATTCATAATAATTGATCATACATTCTTTTGCAAAGACAATGTTGCTAACTTCCATAAAGTAGAAAAATTACAAAAATACTCTCTGATCACAATGCAATATAACTAGAAATTTAAATTGACACCAAAAACCAAAATATGCTTTCACCAGAAAAAAGAAATTTCAAATGAACACTTTTTGAGTAAGTGGAAAAATACAAACAGGAATTATAGAATTTCTATAAAAATAATGCTAATAAAAATACTATATATCAGAATCAATGAGCTATATTTATAAATGATGATTAGAGTAAAATTCTTAGCTTTGAAAATTTATATCAATAACATCTAAAAATGGAAATAAATTAAATACCGAGCTGAGAAATTAGGAAAGGACAACAAAGAAAACTAAAGGAAAGCACAGGAAAGAAATAATAAAGTTAAAAATGAAAGTTATTGATGAGGTAGAGAGAAAAAAGCAAATTCATAAATAAAAATTCTAGTTTTTTTAATGTAAAAACAAAATAGACAAATTGCTAGCCAATTTAATGAAAAAAAGGAGAGAAAATACAGAAATACAGAATGAGAAATGACAAGGGATAAATATTAATACAGAGGAAGATTTTAAATCATGAAATTAATTTGCATACACGTATGTAAAAAAGTAGAGAGCTAGATGAAATGCATAATTTTCTATTAATATTTAATTTACCAAATTTACTTGAGTAGAAATAGAAAGATTAAATGATCCATTTCTGAGGAAGAAATGGCAAAAACAATGAAGGATCCATCCAACAAAAAAGCACAAGTCCAGGTGGTTTCACAAGGGAAATGTTACTAAAACTTTAGCAGTCACCAGATAAGCCTGATGGTACGTCAGTTGTCTCAGAGAATAGAAAATGGAAGAGAACTTTCAGATCCCTTTAATAGGCAATTATAATATTTATATCTAAACCTGATAAAAATAGCACCAAAAAAAGATAATTACAGACTAATATAACATAGGATTATTGGTGGACAAATCCTAAATAAAATATCTTCAAGTAAACTTCAACAGCACATTATGAACACACCATGACCAAGCAGAATTTATGTTAGAAATGCAGGAATTGTGCATTATTAAGAAATTGATTAAAAGAATTCAACAGATTTAAAAAGGTTTAAAAAGAAAAATTTTATAATTATCTTCAAATATGTTGAAAAGACATTTAACAGAGTCAAACACCTATCTTAATGAAAATAGTTAAGATTATAGGAGTGGATATCATTTTCTAATCTTGATAAAATATATATAGATACCTCAGTCCTAAAGCTAACATCTTACTTAATGGAGAAACATTAGAGATGTTCTAACAAGAGTGAGGAACAAGGCTAGCATGATCCTTACCCCTATTACATTTGACAATATATATTGGGGATATTAGCCCATAAAATTAGAGAAGAGCAAAAAGTTAAAGTCATAAGAATTGGAAAAGAAGTAAAACTATTGCTATTTGCAGATAAAATTATGATATGCCTCAAAACCCTTAGAGAATATAATAAACTACTTTAACAAATTTTTTTAAATCAGTAAACTAATATGCAATAAAATTAACATCTAAAAATTAATAGCCTCCATATGCACAAATAATCATCAAGCAGGTGTTACATAATGGAAAAGAAATCCTATTTATAATAGCAAATGTATAAAATGAAATAAACTTAGTAAGAAATATAGAAAACCTATATGAAGAAAACTTTTTTTTAAAAAAGGCAAAAAGTACATTTGAACAAATGGGAAGATATTATTTATTTGGGTATAGGAAAACTGCTTTGGACTGAGTGTTTGTGTGGTGTCCCCCTCAAATTGTATGTTGACACCCTAATTACCAATGTGGAGGAGAGGCCTTTGGGAGGTGGTTAGGTTTAGAGGAGGTCAGGAGTCCTCTGATGAGTAGGTCCTTACAAAAAGAGAAAGAAACTTAAGATCTCCCTCCATCCTTGCATGAGGAAAAGGCTGTGTAAGAAAATAACTAAGAAGCATGCCCTCCCTAAGAACCTGACCATGCTGGCACCCATATCTTGAACTTCCAGCCTCCAAAACATGAGGAATAAATGGTTGTTTAAGCCATTCTATGTCAATTTGTTATAGCAGCCCAAACTAAGACAGTATCTCAGTTGAGCAATCCCAGCTGATGGTACATGGAATAGAAGCAACCCTTCCCACAAAGCCATGCCCAAATTGCAGATTTGTACTCAGATCTTGATTTCTAAATACCATTCCCCACCAGGAGAAATGGCTGATTTCTGGGCTGGGGCAAACAAAGTAAAGATGAGCCTAAAATATATTGTTATGCCAGAAAGTAAAGGAACACTAAAAAATATAAAAGCAGAAATATGTTATAAGGATACATGAGTCACTTGGAAAAAGCTCCAACTGGCCAAATGTGGGGGATTTGATCATTGAAATAAATAAGGATAGCAATAGCAATAGATTACAACCTATTAATAAAATTGAACTCATTAATCCACACTGTAAATAAACAAGCAAGCAAGTAAACAAATACATTAAGAAAAGAGAAAACTCATTCCTATAATAGAATTCTGACTTATAAAAATATACGGAAAAAGTATGAATTTTGAAAACCACCTTTTTGTAATCATCATAGTAAGAAGTGATCCTGGCTAGAATCATCATAGATGTTAAATCTGAGGAACAGAAGAGTTTGATGGGAAGAGAGCACATCCCAAAGTATCTGCCCACATTAAATTATTAAGTACCAAAGGAAAAATAATAACTATATGGTGGAGAAACTGAACAATGCCTAAATCAAATGATCAAAATTGACATCATCTATAAAGGAGAAACAGACATGATGTCACTTCATAATATCTTGACAATAACATAATATCATTTATCTAGTAGTGCTTTCAAAAGTTATAACCCTGATTCTAAACGTGAGGAAATGTTGGAAAAATCACATTTAGATACATATTATTAAATAAACAGCCTGTATTTTTTAATGCCAATGGTAGGAAAGACAATGAAAAGCCAAGAAACTGTCTCAGATTAAAGACTAAAAGTCATAACTAAAAGCAACACCTGATCCTAAACCGGATCGTACAAGAGAAAAACCAAAATTGCTTCCTATAAAAAAAGTAATGGGATAATCAACAAAAGTGGAATAGGATTGTAGATCAAAGTAATCGAAGTTAAATTTCCTGATTGTAATGGCAAAGGTCACTTCTGATGAGTAGAATGTAAGACCGGATCCCTATTCTCAAAGACACTCTATTCTAATTGAGAAATGGAAACTACCGCATGTAACAATCAAAGAATAATACAAAAATTGGTGGCAAATTATGACAACAGAAAGTGATCAACTGAACCAGTGATTTAAGAAGTCTTCACAGAAGATATGACATATTAACGCTACCTGGAAGGAGGGATTGGTTTGAGGTAAGCAGCGAAGAAAGGACAAGCTATCCTTTGTAAAGATGTGCTACCAGTGTAAGCTAAGGCCGGGAGGTGAGAATAAAAATACAGCTCAAAGTGTGAGAGAGATTTGGGGTAGAGAGTCAGTGATGGGGAACGAGGGAAAGTCATTCTATATGTAAATGGGAAGCACCACAAACTTCAAATACACCTCAGTTTGGTTAGAAGAAATTAGGTTGTACAAACATGTGGGTTAATTTTTTTTTTTAACTTGGGAAGCTTTAAATATTTTGCACAAATGTTTTTTTCCTAAGAGTAAGTCCTGTCTTACAAAGGAGACCTCTATCTACTGCTGTCCATAAAACCTTCCGTGATGATGGAAACATTCTAAATCTATACAATCTAATATAGTGGCCTCATGTAGCTAGTGTGGCTGAGGAATTGAACTGAACGTATAACTACACTTAAATTTAACTAACAAATTTAAATAGCAACAGGTGGCCACTGGCCACCATAACTGGACACCACAGTTCTGTACCAAAGCACTCTCACAGCAGGTATGAGTGATACAGACATATAGATATATGCCCTCCCTTCCCATTTGACCTCTCACATGTAGACATACCTGTACCAAAGCACTCTCACAGCAAGTATGAGTGATATAGACATAGAGATGTATGCCCTCCTTTCCCATCTGACCTCTCACATGTAGACATACCTTCAGCACTCTCCTCTAACCTTTATTTTTGTAAAGGTAGCAGAATATTATATAAGGTATGACAGTATCAGAAACCTTAGAAAGTAATTAGGTCAGGGTTTCTCATTTCTGAAACGTAAAGGTCACTCTGAGGGATCACGAAGGTTGAAGCACTCTTGAAAACTAAGCAAATATTTGGAATTCCAGCTTTTTTCCTTCTTTTCTTAAGCTCACCCTTTTGCTTGCTGTAATGAAGTCTGCAGCTCAAGTGTTCGAAAGCTTGAAGCAGTCTTCACAATGACCTCCCACTAAGGCTCCTACAGGAAGGACATGGACGCGTCATAAGGCTGGGAGCTCTTTTCACTGTGATCTCAGCTCCTTGAACCCCATGGGAGAGAAGCAAATTAAGCTACCAGTCTAAAAATTCAGCTCCCAACATTTTGGCACATTTAGGCTTTTCCTTGGGTATAAAAATCCTTCAGGCCCTTATGCTCAAGAATGTATATTTTCTCTCCTAAAAATAAGTGAGCAGCAGGTGCCATACCAAACAAGTCTTAAATGATTTAAGCTGCAGTTGGGAAGGTTCCATAATGTAATTAATTCCAGTTACTGCTCATTTGGAGCTGGGGGAGGCTTTTGATCTAGCTGCATGAATTTCAGATCATTTCTATTGGACAGTTATAATTTTGTTATCAGTCTTTCCAAGTTGAACTTCTAGTCCATTTAGAGTAATGAGCATGCACAAGCACACACACGTCCCTATCAAAGGTCAACATCTGTCAACGCTGCTAAGAATAGGCAATATGCAATATTTAAGGGTTACTTCTAATTCCTTTCTAGAATTCCTTATGACATTTTATGCCTTGGCTCTATTTTATCACTGCTAGGAAAAGGCCATAAATAATTGGCTTGGGATGGGCAAGGGAATGTGCTCAGCCTCTCTTCTGATTATAAAATAATGTGGAGTGTTTTGTAAAAGAGGCATAGAAAACTTCTTCCTGTGTGTTTCGATAAATTCAATTCCAAATAGTTTATTCTCTTGTTCCCATAAAAACTTGCCAGACATTTCCATGTTGTTTTGGCAAATCAGCATTATTACACACAAAAATATTTAAATCTCCATAAAGGGTGACCAAAAAGGGGTAGAAAATCACAGGTCAAACAAAATTTTTAGTTGTTTTTGAAAGCATGCCCATGTTAGTCTTGACTATGTATGTACAGAGCTATGTCTATAAAATTATGCAAACAACATGTAAGAGGGCATGAAATAGGAGGCTTTTCATGAGAAGGTGAGAAAGGTCAGTTGCTGCAACCTAGAGAAGGTTGAAGATGTAGCCTCATAGTCTTGGATGACACCTGCAGTTCTCATGGACAGTGAGCATGTTACATTGAAAGAAGAGACCCAATGGGGACACTCTGTTAATAAGCACACGCTCCCATGTGAACTTGCAAGGAGTAAGAAAGGGGACAGAGACCAATGGAGCCTCATAGAGGTAAGACAACATGAAACGCTTGTTTCTTTGTACCACAAATCCTAGGCACGTGGTATTAAGCCAGTTTATTTCCAGATTCAAGTCTATTCCCATATAGTCTCCTCTCAAAATGTTTTTCTCTGTGCCCCAACATCTAAAGTGATTAGCTCTCTGATGAGTTTGTATGGATATTTCAGTTCCAAAAGCAAAGCAAAAGAATCTTATGATTTGGTATCAAATGAACATTTTAAATCTCACGAGTTATATTATATGCAAACAAAAAAGTATAGAGTTTTATCATTCCCCTCCTCTAAAGCAGTAGTGGTACTCAATGCTGGAAAACACAAGGTGCTTTTTTTCTGCAGACACTCCTTTCTCTCAAGGCCGTGAAAAATTAATGCCATAGAGAATTGAACAAAGAATATATAAACAAACCAAAATATGATCAACATCATTTGAAATCAGGAAATGAGAGTCAATGTTCAGTTATAATGGACTGCATTATTTCCTCCAATTCTTCACTTCCCCAAGATCTACATCCTTTGCCAGTTGACTTTCCAGTTGCTACCACTAAAGGGACAGAGTGTATTTCCCCTACCCCTGACTTTGGATTGGGACACGTGAGAAGCTTTGGCCAATACAATGAAGCAGAAACGACCATGTGCAAGTTCCAAGTCTACACCTTAAGAAGCCTGTGTACTTCCACTTGTCCTTTTATTCCTCCAGCATTGGCATGAGCAGAACATTCTCCAGCTTGCTCACAGGTCCTAAGTGGGTGCTGAGCCATGTGAGCAGAGCTGCACCAGTCACCACAGAGTGAAGCAGAGCATCTCCAGACAATCTGGAGACCTGTGGTCATTAAAGCCACTCAGCTGAACCCAGACCAGATCTGTGAAAACCCAGGAGAACTGCTGATATGTGAATGATTCCAAGGGATTGTTGTTTCAAGCTCTGTCTTTTGCAGAGATCTGTTCTGCAGCATTCTTGTTGTAATAGCACTCTAGTATCAGCCTCCACAAGATTCTTATAGCAAATACTACTTTGGGCTACTGCATACAAATAGGGAATAGGTTTCTGTCAACCTCAGAAATCCCTACACCTCTCTTTCTACGCCCTACCATCTCCCAGTGAGGCCATTCCCCTTCCTCCAGATCAAACATGAGAATCTCGCCTTCTCTTTACCCATACTGCAACTCAAACTTAACTCCCTGATGAGTTAGATTTTCCCATACATGTATTTGACACTTTGCTTACTTTCTCTAAGCCTTAGTTTCTTATTTGGTAAGTGGGGCTAACTATAATAAGTTTTCATTATTGTTATATTAAGTGAGATAATGCATGTAAACTACCTAGTTATAATAGGAACATAGAACTCAAAAACCAATAACCACTATATTCTGACCCTTGAAAATCACTCTCTTTTTAATGAGTGGCTGAAACCCAGAGAAAATATTTTTGAGATAAGATCATTTACAGATAGTTAAGGCAAAAATAATTGCCAACTAATCCCAACTTTTAAATAAATACTTAACATGTGACTTGAAAAAATTCCTTTGAAAATATGGGGATTTTTTGGTTTTTTTGTTTTTTTGTTTTTGCTATCTCTTCTAAGTAATTCTGAAGTTTAGAGAATTCTTAAATTACCCACAAAAGGTTCTCATCTCTTTGGAGATGTTTTAGTCTGATTAGCCTGAAAATTTGAGATTCAAATGATCCATTAACATTTTAGGCATTCACTGAACCAATATTCAGGGGTCAACTACAATACACCACTCCAAGCTAGTTGGTGCATGAGATTAAGGGGGCATAAGATAATTCCTTCTCCCTGGCAAATTATGAAATAAAAACGATGGGAAGTTGGTGCATTGACATAGTAACCACCGCCCAGCGTGGCATGTGCTGAGTTAATTATGAGTGAAGCTGACATTAACTAGAGTAGAAAACGAGGTAGAAAATAGGTGGAATACTTGAACTGGCATAATTTAAGGAGAGATTAACAAAAGCACTGTGTGCACAGAGGAGAGCAGAGCATATGGAGATGGCAAAGAGAATGCAGTACTGCAGAGGTAGTAACAGTGGAGCACTATCACCACCTCATGCCTGAAGGGGTAAGCAAAGAAAGCATTTACCAAATCCAGGAGTGAGAGGGCTGTGTGGAGAGGACCATCTGACAGGAACTGTGATTTGATGGAGGAATCCAGCCAGGCAAAGGGCAAGGGAGCTTGTTGATGTAATCCATACTTGTCAGCCTCCTAGGACAGAAAGCGAGGTCGAGAGACGATCCCTCGAGCATATACTATATCTAAGTAAGAGCAAGCATAGTACTCTATCTAACATGCTAGGTTACAGGAACCAACACCCAAAAGGATACTTTCTTAGCGTATTGATAGAGACATACTTGTGAGTACAATGGTAGCCATTGTCAGTGAAAAGTTACTCCATCTGGACTCTGCCAGGCATTTGGAATTTGAATCATGTTAGAACAGCCCCTGGGAAACTCTCCTACAAATCCAGAGGGCATTAGAAAAGATGAGCCTTAGATGAGATTATAGTAGGCTGGAACTTAAACTATAAATGAGGAATTCTGGGCTCTTTCCGTATCTTTCCTCCAGGGGAGGAACACAGGTAAATGGCCCTCCGAATTATCTCCACTTTAGTCCTGCTTGTTTATGGTCAGAAAAGGTTCTGCCAACACACTCCATAAAAGAAAGAGAACGGAGACGATAAGAGATTATTTTTTTAGCTAGGCTGCTATGTAACATTTTAAACATCATCAAACTGGACTATTTTCATGCTAGTTAAAATAATTGGCACAGGATATTTTTCATGACCCTATTGTACTAAATCTTTACTCTTAGACTCTCCTGGTGAAAATTAAAGTTCACTATTTCCAGTGGGGCCCTATACTTCCTGTCAACATAATTGTGGATGATGGTACCACTTATAATAGAAATAGCTATCATCTTCCATACTATAAAATACTGGTTTGGGTTCAACAGAGCTCTGAAGAGAAAGTGATATTTTGGCATTTTCAGTTTCTTGCTTGCAAAATGCACTAGCCTGCATACATACATAGTTGCTTTCCAATTCAAAATGAGGCTTTTCTTTTGGATCTCTGTAAGTCTTCCCTCCTTCCTGCAATCTCCAAATGATTTTTTCGCCATTATTTTCTTAGCATCATCCGTGGATGAGAATGCAAACAAAATTTCAAGTCCTCCTTGGCATCTCTGATTCTCTGAGGGTTCTATTTATACTATCATAATAGGGATTGATTGTACTATAGGATAAACAACCTTCAGCTTATGTAGGAATGTTTTCAATATCACATTTTCCATTCGCACATGTTCTCAATAAGTAACTCATCAACCAAGTCTTACTTTCTGTGATCTTTAATGCTCGCCTTAGGGCCTCCTCTTTTTCTTAATATTGCAAGATAGTAGCAAATAATTCCATAGTTAAGATTTCAAAGGCACAATATTATAGCCTTCTTATCTCTATTACCCATAATGAAAAACCATATTGCAGCCATAGTTTTCCAAAGGACTGTCTCATAATTAAACAGTATGCTTTTTGGAAATCCAGCTACTGCTTTTTTCTTCTTTTCATCTAAGTCTTCTGCTTAAAAATCTTTTGATGGCATCTAGTCTCTTTCAGGATAAATGCCAACCTCCTTGGTACTGTATTTATGCATTCCACAAATATTTATTGAGCGTCCTATCATAGGCACTGTTATAGATGTGAAAAGTATTTTAAATATCAACCACACTGAGGTGCTTGGCTCTCTCCCACATTCTACCCTTTCTAGACCCTGATTTTGCCTGTGTTGCAGCCCAGAGCACACTTCTAATCAGCCCTCCCCCGTTTTCCTGAAAATTCCTACTTCTCTTCTTGACTTTCCTAAGCAACACCTTCTGTGAGAATCTTCAACTCCCTTCACTATAGTTTTTTCATGACGTTGGCTGAGATTGTGGGCATTCCCGTCTCTCCCCCAATCTGAGTTCCATGTGAGAAAAGTTGGAATTTTGTTGCTCCTAGGGACCTAGCATGGTGTACATGGCCGAAGATTTGCTAAATGAATACAAACCTAACCAGTAGAGAACAAAGTTACTAGTTGAAACCCTGAGAAGAAATTTTCTCACCCACAATTAAGAATTACTCAGCTGGAACTAAAAGTCATCATTGAGACCACCAGTTATTCAGAAACTTTTCAGCACCAGGTGGGAGGCTGATCCGCTAGGGTATTGCAAACCCTGGCATGCACATTACTTGTTCCACATCTGCCCCATCCCCAACACAGCACAGCAGAGTTGCTATGTCTTTTGGGAAGCCGCTCGGCAGAGCAGCACATCCTCAAAGACAGGAGATAAGCCTTGGGAGCTCAGGGAGATCCGCCTGCCCTGAGTACATACCTGATTGTCAGAAATAGGGTAATTGTCTAATCACATTGTAATTTTCTCCAAGGAAAGATGTTACATGTAACCTCTTCATTTCCCCTTTCCCCAACCGTTTGCCTTGCACAGAACTGAATGCAATATATGCTTAATAATACTCTTTCGGCCAGGTGTGGTGGCTCATGCCTGCAATCCCAGCACTTTGGGAGGCCAAGGAGGGCGGATCACGAGGTCAGGAGTTTGAGACCAGCCTGGCCAATATGGTGAAACCCCATCTCTACTAAAAATACAAAAATTAGCTGGGCGTGCTGGCACGCACCTGTAATCCCAGCTACTTGGGAGGCTGAGGCAGGAGAATCGCTTGAACCCGGGAGGCGGAGTTTGCAGTGAGCCAAGATCGGGACCACTGCACTCCAGCCTGGTGACAGAGTGAGACTCCGACTCAAAAAAAAAAAAAGTACTCTTTCAAGGAAGAATATATTTCTGGAAAAAAAGAAAAGGAGGATGAGGCTGCATTAGTTAGTGAATCCCAGCTGCCCTAACAAGTATATCCCAAGTAAGTGTCTCCTCACAGCAGAGTTTTCTCTCTCACTGTGTGATAGCCCATTGCAAATGTACTTCCCAGACATTGCTTTGCTCTGGGTGATGGTTTAGAGACCCAGGCTTCCATCTTGTGGCACCACCAACAGAGGCTAGAGCATCTTCTTCATCTATCCAGTTGGGAGGGAAAGAAAACCTGAAGGCAGCACACTTGCTGCTTAAAAACCTTGCCCCAGAATGGCACACATAATTTCTGTTCCAATTCCGTGGGTTAGTACTAGTCACATGGCCACACCCAGAAGCAAGCAGCTAGGCAGTGCAGGCCTAGCTGAGCAGCCTCTTCCTAGTAACAACTCTGCCCTGGAAAAGGGAACCCCAATTTTGGTGTTCAGCTCCTCTTTCCTGACACAGAAATTCTTTGTTTAGGAAGTGGTAATAAAGAGATATACTTCTATAAAATTAATCCAATTTCTCCAAAAATGAAGCTGTGATCATAAAATACAAACTTCTGACTCATCCGTCATTTCTATATATCCCACTTCTTTTGCTAGGATTACTGCCTAATTTCTAAGAATCTCCATAAAGAGTCAGAGCTTTGAGTTCAGAGGTCTTTCTCTCTTCTTGAAGAATGTTCTGCATAAGATACGGCATTTCTCAGATTGTGCTCTGCAAAACATTTCTCTCTTCTGTGGAAACTTTTCCTAGCAATTAAATTTGGGAAACTCACCATGTTATACTTCGCTCTTGAAGTGTAACAATGCATGTTAGCATATATTACAAATACAAAACAAACACACCTCAAACTTACTTAACCACTAAGTTTATGTTATGAAAGATATCTGTGAATCACAAAATGCTATAGAAGACAGAAAACATAATAATAAGAATTAGCATATATTGAAACCTCTTATGTGTTAGATACCATGCTATCTAGTTAAATACCACCACCCTGTGAGGTAGGAATCATTTCTCCATTTAAGAGAAAAAAATTAGGCTCAAAGAGGTTAAGTGTAAAAGTTCCACTATTAAAATGTAATTTATTTGGGTCACTGAGAAAAATGACTGAGAGACTGTGTATTTCAGTTCTTTTACGGATGTCATCTATGAAAATGACAAAAATGATGTCGTCAGCAACCCCAGCTTAATGCCAGATGCATGGTAGGAGTTCATCCAGAGCTTTGCAAGACCAGTCCAGCAAAACTTGCAAGAAACACTCTATTTGCTTTCTAATCAGGCTTTACTGACATGTGTATTCAGTAGTGAGAATGAAAGAAAAACAGAGGGTGGTCCAGGACTCTGAATATAGAATTTCCCACAGAAGTTTCTCCCTCTGGGACCAATAAGTTCCAGTTCCCAAGAAGTGCTGGAACTGTATGGGGACTAAATTTTTACCAAAAGCCTTGCTAGTTAAAGGTAACACCTCATTAAGCCATATAGGCCCACTCTTAAAGAGCTTAGCTATTCACTTAAGGAACTCCAAGAGCGGACATTGTGTTCCCATTTACCACCTGTCTCCTGGAAATGCCTGAATTTCTGGAAATCATGATTGTGTCATTTCCATCATTGCATTTCTTTTGGGAAAGAAACAGTTTAAAGGATTCAAAAAGCTATTTGATCAGGAATCAAATCTTATAACAAATTAAATTATATTAACAATTATTACTACTTCTATATATATATCTGTTATCATCTGCCAGATTGTTATGGTAAGAATTCTTTATTCATTATCTCATTTCATCCTTACTTCCTTTTAAAATGGGCATTTATCATTACCATCTTACAAATAAGAAAATTGGGAGAGAGGTCAGAAAACCTGCACAAAGTCACAGAAATAGAGGTAGAACTTTAGCTCTATGATTCCACAATCTAGATGGATGGGAGTCAAAGATCCATGGTTGTACCAGTTCCCTATACTGCCTCCTCTTTAGGTTTCATATTTTTCATCCCCAAATCACTCGATAAGGTTTCTACTTAATTCTTCTGTGATCTGCAAAACACGCACTTTTAAAGTTATTTACTTCCTTCTAGGACCAAGCTGTGATTTCAGTAACTGCCACTAATTAGATAGTAGCAGCTTTCTGCATTATAACATGAAATCTCAGATACTAACAATTATGACATGGAATCTCAATTATTAACCACCCACATGTAGAAAAGCATGTGGTTCAGTAAAGCGAATGATGTCATTATTATTTCTCCAAAAGTTTAACTCAGTCAAAGTGATACGTATCATCGAAACAGGTAGATTGACTCCGAATCTAATGAAGCTTATGTTTCCAAGACCATGGGAAGGGTCTTAGCATTTCTGTGTTAATAATTTTTGTATTTTTTTTCAAAGAGGGTTCTCCAATTGTATAAGCTTAAGGATCCACAGAACTCAAAGGTATCACTGTAGTAGTAAAGAGTATGGGCTGTATGGTTGGTCTGCCTTGGGAGCAAATCCTGGCTGTACAACTTAATACCTGTGTGACCTTGAGTGCGTTACTTAGCCTCTCTGTGCCTCCATTCTCTTTTTTTAAAAACATGGGGTTATGACAGAGGATCGATCATAGGATTATTGTGTGAATAAAATGATTTATTGCAGCAAAGCAATTAGCAAAAAGCCCATAAAGTGATCAAAGGTAAACTACTATTTATTACTTTAATAGCATATGTGGATACTGACAGCCTATTTGAGCAAAATTTAATGACCTTCAATACTTACACACAACTGCTATTTTGCCAGCTAGAGTGCCACTATTATCTATTACCAATCACCATTTAAAGAACTGTTTTAACTCATATCTATTAATAGTATGAAAACATATCTTGAGTGAAAGTTCCTGGAATAAACTTATCATTGATATACTTCATTGTATCAAATAATTTAAATCGAGTTGCTGGCCCTAAGAGTTACTTTGGGGTTCCCAGCTTTCCTAGTAAGTCTCTTCAACTCTGAGTTATTGATCACCAAAACTAAAAATTCACCTATCTTTGTGGTCTAAATGTACATACTAGCCATGATATTTTGGTATATTTTCCTGTTTAATTGGCAGCCTACTAAGCTAACTCTTGCTCATAACTTTCTAAGCACAAATAACTATAATGGTAATCACACTGGTTTAGTATTTTACAAAAATTTCATCTAATCTTAATCATAATGCTACACTGCAGTTCAAGCAAGTGTCATTATTCCATTTTGCACAAAGAGCTGAACTTCAAGATAGTTGTATGGCTTGTCCAAGGTAACCCAGTAAGTAAATAGGGAAATAGAAGAAACCAGAATTTCTAAGACTCGAGATTTACATGGAATACATTTTTCAAAGTTCTAATCCCTTAGTAGTATAATGCATTTTCTTTTTTCCTTTTTTTTCCCTAAACCTGGATTCTCACTAAAGACACATATAAATGGGGTAATACTTTTTTTCTACAAAATATATTAAACTAATGATAATAGTGCAGAAGAGGTGTCAATAAATGCATGTAATACTCTTCTAGTGATTGCTGCTAATAACTTCAGGCAGTGTCACCTCTGGAGAAGCCCTCATTTAATAAGCACCACTGTCAAGTCCAGTCTTATGGACGGATAAATGTAATGGGGATTGTCTTGTGAACATTATTTGAGGGATTGAGAAAAATCTCCCATCCAAGAGAGATCCTTCTCTAGACTTACTGCCTTGCCAGAGAATCTGCCATTATTCCTTTTCAATTAAAACAGTGCTGACCCAAGGAAGCTTAGTTTTCACATGCAAGATTCCCTGGAATAGTCCGCTGTTTAAAGGCTGCCAAAGACAATTAAGAATAATGTCACAGAGGTGCAAACTGGAAGCATAATTAAGAATATGATGTGGCAACAAAGCAACATTATCAGATTTGGAACTGGAAGATCTAAAATTTAATCCTACTTTGATTTTTCTACTTTAGTATGCTACCTTCTCAGCTTAATGAACTGATTTTTTTTGAAAGCACTACTTAGTGCACTCTCATTCCGACTAGTATTCCTGGATTTTTTTAACCTTCAGAATTTTCATTTTTTCCTAACCAGTTAATCAATTCTATTAGTGATCTTGAAGAAGGAGTGAATAGCACATTAATGAAATTTTCAGTTGATATTTTTAGGAGGATGTAGAAACACCACTGAGGATACATAAATAAGGCAGACTGACAAAGATATACGGAGGTCTAAGTTAGGAAGGAAGTGCAAGATATTTCCCTAGGACCAATAATCTAAAATACTAGCAATCAGATAAAGTGAAATAAACTTGGTCATAAAATCAAGATACACAGGCTGGGAAAATGAAAGCATATTTGCTATCAACAATAAATAAACAAGTCACAAAACTATTCCATGCCTGGAAGAGTTTAATATTATATAAAGCTACCCCATGAAACAGGAGCCTGGAAAGAGCCACCAGTAACACAAAGAATGACTTTCAGCCTAAGAGCCAAGAACTGGATATCAGAGAGCTTGGGATGGTAGAAATAGAAGTGACACTTGTAATTATCATTGTAATAATAGTAAAGCCTTCTGTCTGCATAGCACTTTAAAATTTTAAAAGCTCTTTCACATATATAGTTTCATTTGATCCCCACAAGGACTCAATGAGGTGAACAAGAAAGGAATCATAATTCCCATTAGAAGAGAAAATTAGAAGTTCAACAGGAAAGTAATTTCTACAAAGCTATTCAATTCATGAATCCAGGACCATCATACAATTTCAGAACTCAATGATTCTTTAGCGATATCTAATCTAATTCCCTCTTTTACATATTAGGAAACTGAGGCTTAGAGAGAGAAAGTGACTTTCTCCAGAGAATTTAATTAGTGATAAAGCAAGCACTCGAACCCAAAGCCTAGTCCATCAATCTTTTCAACAAACTGTTGCCTTCTAGATGTTCTTGAAAGGAGAGGATGATTAAAATAGGCCAGGTTATGAAATCTGGTAGGAAGAGTCCAGAGCTGTTTTTAGAGTTAGATGAGAAAGATTTTCACTAAGGTATTTGCAATAATAATGACACTTGCAATGGAATAAATGAACGTAGTGAACACTCGGAATCAGAAAGATATAGATCAAATAGGCAGAGGGGCAAAAGTGACACCAGCAATATGGGCATTGATTTATGAAGAGAGACTGGGAGATTAAAAGTGCTAAATATGCATGACTTGACTAATAACTAAGGAAAGACAAGGAAGTCTATAAATATCTGAAGGGTACAAATGCTGTAGAGGATGCAAAAATATTTTAAAAGCAAGAGGGGAAAGCCAATACCATTAGGATTAATGAAACCCAATGAAGAAAGGGAAAAATAAAAGTTGAACATAAAGAAATAGTTAAAATGAGATTTCTTTTCTATGTTTGTCTTCTAAGTCCAGAGGTGGAGTCTGGCATTTGGGACATTTAAACTCTGATTGGACCAAAATCCGTAAGCCAATAACATGGAAGCCATGTCCCAAGGAGACACAGGGGCTGAGCACATGCCCTCAAAGGTGGTTTTTATCTCTTATTTTTATAATCCTGGAACCATACAACATTGGATTATCATTCATTTTGAAGACTGAGGCTGTGGAGCTTTGTGTAGTAAGAGTAGTGTGAACTCCTCTGTTCAAGGCAGAGCACTAGAGATGAGCTTACAAACTCCACCAAATGGAGCAAATCAGAATTGACTTTACAAAACTGCCTCAAAAATAAACGAGACATAGCATAATAGCATAGCAGAATAGATGTGTATTGACCTGGCTTCACCCACCTGCCTGTTCCCACATGAAGAATTAGGCAGGACTATCTCTTGCACCAGCAAAGGACATATAAGAAGCATGCTGGCGGATGCAAAGGTTGGATCCTATGCTTTTCTCCTTGTTGCTGGTATTTTACATACGTGGCCTAGGTTGTTAGCCTGGGTTCCAGGTTTATAGCTTTGCCATGCCTCTCAGTATCTGAGATGCCTTTCTGGGCTGGGCCTACCTTGTCTTATTCTCAACACCCATGCCCTTCTGAATTATGTTTCCTTGGTCAGCTATTGCCCTGCCCTGCATCCTAGTCCCCATGAGGTTTGATATTGAGATGTAGCTGATGTAATAATTGTGGTAATAAAAATAACAGCCCTAAGAAAAGACAAGATACCTGCTAAGTGATGAGAAAAAAAATGGTTAAGTCTACTGAAGCCTCTGCATGCCCTCAGCTTCAAAGGCACCTCTCTGCCTTGCCTAGAGCTCAGACTCTGGCTGTCCTACACACTATTCCCTTCCCAGGGATAGTGTCTACAGCTCATCACCAGTATCTATGAACACCATATCTGGCATAGAATGTTCAATAAATATTGATTAAATGAATAAATGAAACCCTTCTGTGAAACTCCATTAATTTATTCATTCAATAAATAAATGTGTTAAATGAACTGCAGCCTACTTGATTGGCCGAGGCTTGATTATCCTAATCTTTGCATGTCCAGATCTTAGGGATTTATTTTTTGGCCCCATATCTTTACCCACCAGAGGGAGTCTGGCTGAACCTGAACCTGGAATATTGACATAAACCTGTTTTGAAATATCATTACTTTCCAGAAATTGTAGTGGTTGGGCCCTGCTTACCCTATGAGAATAATGTAGACTTTGGCACTAGCCATCCTGAAACTCCGGTTTATCCCATGACTCTAGACCATTTGGGTATATGGCCACCTCCAGGGTTCTCAGTGGGTTAACACTCCAGAGCCCGGTCCCTCCAATTTCTTCCTCCCCAAATACTGCTGGAATGCCACCTTATCTCCCACCAGAACCCATTCCATTTACGAAAACAAATCACTTTTTCATTTTAAATCTTTTTTCTCTGTCTCTTCCTTTGGAGACTCATTTGTTCTTTCAAAAACAAAAGGATAACTGAGATTCTCAGTAGGAATTCTGGTTGCCATCACATCTGAGATCACTCATTAAAAATTTGCAGTATGGAAAACCACTGAAGATCATTACAGCTGTAGTCAGAAGCCAATGTGCCAGGATAATGAAAAACAATTCTGCAGTTTCCCCATGCTCTGTTAGTTGTAGTTGTCATAAATGAGTTGTGGAGACTTGGAGTGAATGATCCATATCTTATTGAACTGTCCTTTTTTTATCAGTGACAATTGAAGGTGACTGAGAAGCAGGGCCAGTGTCAGACTGTATCTAATTGGAAACCTTCTCTCATTAATGTCCGATGTTGACTTGGATTGCTTGACGAAATCAGGACCACAACGGAATGGATTTTATTATACAAAATGAACTGGTTGAGCTCTCTTCCACTTCAGTGTTTTTTTAACCTTACCCCACCCCTAACTCTGTGGCAGGAGCCAGCAGAGCAGGAATTTTGAGAAAGGCAGGTCTGTGAACAAACAAAGCGAAAACAGTAATGCAGTGAAGGAAATTGAAACCATATGGACTTTCATGCCACATATGTTAGGACAGTTCTTGGGCACTGCTGTGGAACCAGAAGACCAGGGGGACCTCTGAGAAGTCACTTTGACTCCACATCTTTAGGCAAAACTCCCCTTAACCTAGCCCGGGCGGCTCACAACACATGTTGCACGTAGAGGAGATGGTATGGAGAACACCGTCCACATCCTCCCTCCATCCTTTCCCGCTCACTGGCTGCCTTCATGAAATGCGCCCTTGGAAGCTCTTTTTAAAAGTTTGGGTCTTTAGCTAAGGTATTATATCCAAGAGAAAAAAGAGTGTTTGGATAAAGAAAAGGCGATTTTACTTTAGCTATTTTCCCTTCTCCCTGACCCTTACCACTTCTGGAGGAAATTAGAGAAATAAGGGCTGGATGAAGAGAGATGTAAAATCCCAGAAGACTACTGAATAGAATATTCCAGGCTCACTGAAGAAAAATCTCCAGACCTTCCTACTAAGACAAAAAAAAAAAAAAACAGACTTGTTTTGTTAAGGAAAACATGGCCAGTGCTCGCAGTGTGATTTTTATTAAGTATATTTTAGTGCTATAGAGGTTAAGTTTTGCAATCCGATTTTCGGGAAGACCGCAGTTTACTTTTTTTCTTATCTCTGGCTGCTTAAGAATAAACTAATGCTGACAATAACTACCTACTTTCTGAATGATTCGTTGAGCATTTCACAAATGTAAAAATGCTTTCACAATGCTTAACAAAAACTAAGAAATACAAAAAATTTCATGTGGAAAACACCACAAACCAAGACCCACAGATTTATTCACTTTCTCTAAAACCTTCTAGTCTGACAAATATGGCTTTTTAAAATATACATTTTATTGGTTCAGAGATATGCACAGTCATCTTCAGTTTCAGAAGATGAAGCAATGGCTAATTTAAGCTATTTTTATGCCTAATTAATGCTCATATCTTTTATGGTCTTTGACTCTCCTGACCCTGAGATGCTATGATCCAGCAGAATTTAAGAGAGAGACAGAGAGCCTGTTCTTGACACTACTGTTACATTAGTTTTTGCTCTGCCCCTTCTATCCACTTTTTATATTCTCTTCCTAACTTTTTACCCTTCTCCACTTAATGCCCGTCACTAAGATACCCACTTCTATGGCAACAGATAAACACCATCTTTTCTATTGTAAGCCTTTCAATTGTTTCCTTAGATCCATTCTCAAATCACATTTCTTTGTGTTTCTTTGTAAGAATTAAACTTCCAAACAATTTCATTCTAGTGAATTTTATAATAGTAAACTATTAATGGCAATATCATATTTAATATGTTGCTCACCCTAGGAACATTTGGAAGTAAATAGGACTACTAATTCATTGTACCTATATAAAATTTTGTTCTTAAGCAACACTTCAAACTTTGTGTCATGACATTGATTATATCTCATCCATCACCCTCCTGGGTTTCAGCAAATCAGAGATTCTTAGAGCTGGAATAAGTCTTAAAAGGCTAAGTTGTATTTATCATTTTTCAAATTAGAAAATGGAAGCCTAGAGAATTGAAATGATGCCCAGGTCACTTAGAGA
The DNA here is from genome assembly GCF_000001405.40 of Homo sapiens. NCBI lineage: Eukaryota > Metazoa > Chordata > Mammalia > Primates > Hominidae > Homo > Homo sapiens. The sequence continues at coordinate 94,616 of NW_003315928.1, read as the reverse complement.
GTCAATGAATGAAGTGGGTCTAGGGCTCAAATCCTGACTCCTAATTCAGTGTTCTTTCCACCACAGCACATAACCAGTTCCATCTCGTACTGTCTCAGATCCCAAGTGCTTCACTCAATGCTACTAAGAGACTCTTTCAGGCACAGAATTCCCTGGCTAAATAGGAAAAGATGGTAGAAAGGGTAATGTGATGTTAAGACAAAATCTACCTCCAGAATGCCTAGTGGTATTGATAAGTGGTATATGCTACCTGAACAGTGATCCAAAGAACACCTAATGCAGGAATAATTTGTATAATATTTTATGCTATGAAAATATATCTAAACATTTTACCCATGCTCGTACATTTTTGCATGACTACAACCTCCACTAGCAAATCTGCCAAGGGTGTCTTTGTAGAAAAGGGAATCAAACAGAGCTGGAAAGTTGTTGATGAGTAGTTGATAAAAATGAAAATAAATTATATAGTAAGCAAAGTAAGCAGGATCCCATCAGAGAATCAAAAATTATATTAATAGATGAGAAGAATTTCCTATAAACTGGAAGTGATGGGGGCCTCAGGAGAATGACCTTTGAAAGGATCTACTCACACACTGTGCTTTGTTGATATCAAACATCTGGCTGGAGAGAAAACCATTCAGTCAATCAACCAGATGTTTAGTCTACCCCCTGCCAAACATCTGGGCGATTGATGGGATCATTTCCTTTTCATTAGGGAGCTTGGCCACAGCAACCCAGAGGTGCAATCACAGCATGAGAACACAGCATGAGAATGACGGATAGCTTGACCCACCAGGATCCCCAGAGTGGGACATTTTTCAGGTCTGTGTGGGTCAATTCAACATCACTTTAGTTTGAGATTTGTTGGCTGTTTGTTGCTCCGAGACACTTTGATGCCAGCACATTTCTAAATCCCTACTGCATAAAGAACCCATGGAGGTTCTGAGATGAAAAAGAACACCTTATTGACATTCAAAAATAGGAGACCATTGGCTGAAAGCTACACTGGTTTCCTCCCAAATTGTCATTAAGTGACCTTCCTTTGCTGTTTCTACTGCTGTCGGGGAAGAGGTGGCGACATTTTGTTGGCACTGGCCTCGGGACTCGTAATGAGTATAGAACTTGGCTCCATTATAAAACATAATCCATCTGACAAAAGGAAATTATTTAGTGGGCACTCTCTTAATTATAACAATTTAGAAGAGGGAGAAGTTGAGGACAACAGCAGAAAGCATAACAATGTCACTTAATGAGAATTTTGTCTTTAGACTCCCTTCTGGTAGACCAGCATCCCCAAGGATTGAAGAGGAAAATCAACATTTACCAATAGTTTCTTGAATTCTAGTCAAAGACAAGGGGGAATAGGGGGAAATAAGGGAGTAGGAGCAAGCAAAAAAAAATGGGGAAAACAAAGGGCTGTATTGTCTTTATATTGAGGAATAACAGGATGACTATGACATTTGTGATTTATCTTCTGGAATTTTTTTCTAGGGGTAGAAGAGGCCTCTGGAGTGAGGGTATAGGCAGTCAGCCATGGGTCATGACTTACCCAGAAACACTGCAAGCTCTGATTCTAGGGATCTTCTGAAAGATGATCTGCAATTTTACTGATAGCCTTGTAGGGAGGCTGACCCTCTGAAGAACACAGTGTTCCTCTCCGAGTTTATCATCCTTGCTTACAACCATAACAATGCTAATGCCTCGCAGGTGTTCAGAACCCTGTCATTTTCACAGTGCTTTCATACAGATGACTTCTTTTGATCCTTGCACTTCACTAGGTGTAGTTTAAAGAAAATGGAAAGAAGAACATAATCAAACCTGGACTCTATGCCTATTACTTTCCAGACACCTTGCTAAGTACTTTCTCATGGCATCTTATTGGGACTATACAAATAAGGGCACATGTATATGTACTTCCTTTTTAAATGAGGAAAATATTGGTCTCAGAGAGGCTAATTTACCTGAAGTCACCCAGCCAGTGAGTGGAATTATAAAACTGGATTGGAATTTGAATCCAAGTCTCTTCCTAAAGCCATGCTTTTTTAGACCATGTTGCTACCACAATCAATGCTTTAAATTTACCCAAAAAAAAAAAAAAAAGCAAAAGACCTTCACTATAGCACTCATATTCCAGAATATAATGTAGTGACATAAAATCCTCATATGTATATATGTGTACATTTTTTTTAATATACACAAGACATCTATATTGGGACTCTTCTTGGAGGCCATCCATGCTAACATTAGACTGTCTTTGGAGTGTCTGAATAAAACAGAGCCAGTTTGATAACATTTATTTAGTCAGTCATTGAAAATCTCTAGAGCCACCATGTACTTAGTAATGTGTACTATACTAAGAAAAAAATATATGAGATGATCCCTGCCTTCAAAAAACACATAATTTTTCTGAAGAAATTAATAAATATCCTGTATACAGTAGAATAGTATTTAAGTTAATACTTGAATTTTACACATTGGTATAAGAAACTACTATAAACAGAATAAGATGGAATATAACTGTTAAATTTTTCCTACAGATAATAATTACTGTAGAGATCTGCTGGATAAGATCAAACAGTACTGAAGTGGGACCTGAGGAGGATACTTATTTTTTTAAGCTCTATCCTATCTGGGGATCTCTCTGGAATGAAATTGGAGGACGTCAGTAACAGGTCACATTCCAGGACCTATAGCTAATCAATGTAGAGCAACTCTGTCAGAGTGGCATTGTTACCTTCATTTTATAGAAGGGGAAACTAAGGCAAACATAGAATCCAAACCAAGGTCTCTCTGATTCCAAAGACGAAATTCTGTTTCATAAACTCGGAGAGGCATGGAATTTTTAGATATTAAAGAAAAAAATATGTATTTTGGGGGAAGGTTTCAGAAAATCTACGAAGTGGGACTAAGAGAGCCATGTTTGTTACACAACAGAATTAGATGAATTTAAATAAAGGTATTTACTTTGTGAAGATAATGTGGATAGTTAGGCCAAATGAAGATTTTTGGAAGGAAAGCAAGAGTTTTCTATAGGAATTAGGAGACTATTGTCAATTCTTTACCAAGATCTTATTTGATTATGCTGACAACAGTCTATATAATGGATTGGAATAAGGAAATACAGGAGTAGAAGAAATCGTTTTCTGTTCTAACGCCATTGTGATGAAAAACTCATCTTAATAATGATGGAAATCCATTCAGATCAGATCTTTGGCTACATGCAATGCATAGTTCAGTCCAGATGGGTACTGACCAAATCTGTGGAGAGACGTTTGAAGTAACCTTACCACTGAGAGGATTTGGGTGATATTTTGAGGACTACCTGCAGATACTAAAATCTGCAGATACTCCAGGGGAATATTTTGCTTCAGTGCTTTTCCCCAGGGTCATTTAAAATGTAGAGTCTTTCTTAGCTTAAATTTATTCATTTACAAAAATCTGAACATTTAGATTTATTTTTTGTTTGATTTTTTAATCTAAATCTGAAGTGAAAATTTGAATCTCCTGTTAAGGTAGACATCTTCTCAGCACCAATTCGCACATACAATGACTCCAGGGAAAGTTTCTGAAGCAAAACTTTCCCCTGGAATATCTGCAGATTTTGGTATCTCCAGGAGGTCCTAAAACCAATTCTTCGCAGATACCTCAACAATGTACTTTCAGGCTTAGACTTCAAAACTCTTCTCTTTGTATCTGCATTCATCTCCTAGGTAATCTCATTCATTACTGTGGTCCTAAATACAATCTCCACACTGATGACCACTGAATTCACACCTCTGGAACTAACCTCTACCTTGAACTCCAAACAAATATGTGTAACTATTGGCTCAACATCTTCACTTGGATGTCTAAAGTTATCTCAAACTTAACATGTCTGAAATAATACTTTTAATACCAACCCAATATGCTCCCAGAACTTCATAATCTCAATAAATGCCAGCTCCATTTTACCAGATGTTCTGGCCAACACTCCTAGAATCATTTATGACTCCACTCTCCCAAACCCCATGTCCAATCTATCAGCAAATCCTAATAGATCTACCTTCAAAACAGATCCAAGCCCACTTCTGCTTGAAGGTCTTTACATTCACTGCTCCCTCAGCCTGGAGTCATCTTCCCCTATGTGTCTGCAGTGCTTATTTTCTCACTTCTTTCAGGTCTTTACTCCGAAGTCACCTCCTCAGGAAGACATTTCCTGACCACCTTATGTTAGGAGGTCCCTCCCCCAACGATCACCCAACAGCCTTTTCTAACCTTGTTTCTAGTACTTATTTCCACCTAATTCAGCAGCCGCTGATGTCATCCTACTTATATCTCCTTGACCATACCCATGGCCTTCCCTGGAGTTCACCACAGACACCTTCCTTACAGCCTATGGCTTTATTTGTCTCTATGATAGATGGTGTTATTGATTTCCTCTGGCCATGGAAACATATTCAGTCTGTGGACAAGGCTGGCCAGAAATGCTGAGAAGTTAGCACTCTAGGAAGCAAAGAAGTTTGCGAAAAAATACCCCAGCTTTTTATCCCACAAGAGGAAGTCTCTGACTAGTTTTCTGCACTGACCTTCAGCAGGTCCTCAGGGGCATTCAGCCCCAGTTGCCCCACAGGAACCCCCTGATTAATGTGCCCTTTATTGAATTTTCTCCTTTCTGCAGCTCACACCTCTACTCCCTCACTGTGCTTCATGGGGTTATCTCCTAAATAAACTACTTGCAGCCAAATCCTTTTCCTAAGGTCTGCTTTTGGGGGAACCCAAAATGAAACATTTTACATGTTTATTTGTTTATCACCTATATCCCTCACCACAGGGAAAACTCCACAATAGTCAAGTTGTTTCATTCCCAGTTCTACCTCAGCTTCTATGTTCTTAGCACATAGGAAGCACTCAATAATTATTTTGTTGAATGAACTTGACTGCATTTGCATTTGATTTCTTGCCATTCGGCTATAGCATCATGGGTTGGAAGGTCTGTGCTATTGACTTGACAGAGAAGACAGAATGGAAGAAGGAAAGCAAGATTGTGAAAGTTGGGGAAAAAAAGCAGGAAAAAATGCATATTCTTTCTCACATGTCTTTCAAGGTCACAGGAGCAAGCTTCTGATAAACAGTGCCCAAATCAGAAGTGGGAGTGGTAATTTGGGGGGTCATGAACTCGGCTTCATCACAAGGCTCTCACACTCACTGGAGCAGTGGGCTCCATCACTGGAGCACAACAGGAGGACCAGGTAGGGAAGGAGTTGTGGACAAGACCTTATCCCCTTCCAGTGCTTTCTCTCTCTGGTCACCGGCCTTTCATCTGCATCTGAAACACAAGGGCTTCTTTGAGTGGCAGCCCTGCTCTGCTGGTCACCAGCTGAGAGGAAAGGTGAGGAGTTCGTGGATGTATTTGTTCTTGACTTCAATGAGCACCTCTTTATTTGGGGAAAATCCATCATTTCAAACACATAAGAAGGACCCCACCAAGTAACAAAGAGAAATGTTCATTAGGATGTTCCAGACGCAGAAATCTTCACCAGGAAAACAACAGATGACCCCATTACAACAGGCTCCTTGAGGTCTACAGGCCCCATGAACGCAAGTTCAATTTCAAACACACAATTGAATGAAAATGGCAGCAATTCTTTTTCCTGGAGATTCCAGAGCAGCCTCTCCAGTGAAAGCCATGAAGTTCTGGGTAGAGGAATGGAGTATTAGAGCTGAGTTTGGCTACCAGCACTGGATGACACTGACAGATGGTACAACCCTGGACAACTCCCTTCACATAACCTAATCTCACCTTCGAAATTCAGAACTTGAGGCAAACATGCTCTATCTAACAAAGTTGTCAGAATTAGATAAAATCATGAGAGAAACATTCTGGCACATCTTAGCACTCAATACACATTTGCTAAAATGCTAAAATGCTCCTCAGTGCTGCTCCAAACTTCACCACATTAAGTGGAGTGACTGCTTCCCCTCTGCGTGCTCCATCTTCCCCACAGACTAAAGTGTTTCCCATTTCCAAGGGAACAGGTGATGAGAAAGCAGATCTGAGCGGCTGATCAGATACTAAGTAGAGATGAATGTGAGCATAAGGTGGGAGGGGGAGTGTTATGTCAAGTCCATGCCTGTACATTGTCAGTCTGGGAAGGTGCACTCCTGGGGCATAGAGATAGGCCTTCTCTTTTTTCCTTCCTCATAATTCTACTTCACATCAGGGTCTTACAGGGCCTCCATAAATATTATTTGCAGATGATATCAGTGATGCTCTGCCTCCCACTCCTCCCCCTTGGATGTCTGACCTCATCTGAAAGAAAGCAGTCTTAGCAGTCCTAGCTTCCCTGTTCCCATGATGGTCAGGGAGGAAGGGGAGGAAGGGGAGGAACTATGGGGAACGGTGGGGCAGAGCTATTGGTGGCCTTCCACCTTCCTGCATCTGTGAGTCCCTGTGGAAAAGAAGTCCTCCACATTCAATGGAGGAACAGCCACAGCTCAAGGCAGGAGTGTGAGAACCCAAAGGCTGCTCAGAGGATTTCCCAATGGGTCTGGATCTCTTGAGGATAGCAGGAAGAGGATGGACTGCAGGACCATCAAGCCTATGTTATGCCTACTTAGTCAGCCCAAGACTTTTCCTGAATGTGTTAGAATCTCCTAAAATTACTGTCCTTTTAGGGCCTTAAGAATCAAGGAGAAGAAGAGAATAAGAAGGGAACTGTGTTTATCGGTTAACTAGTATGTGCAAACTGACTTATACCAGCTTTCTATACATTGCTCATTTAGTCCTTTTAACAACTCTGAAGTTAGTGATACATGTTACCCATATTTTATTTGGAATTCATATGGGTTAAAAAAAACGTGCCCAAAGTTATACAGTAAATGTGCCCTTTTTCACCTCACCCCACTGCTCAAGCAATGCAGGTTGTCAAAGATCCTTCCTATTGCTGTGAGGCATGTGCCATCAGAGCAGGTCATTTTGTGTGCAGGCATTTTGGCTGAACCCTTTGAATGCCATTGCTTGATAATCAGAGACATCATTATGGCATCATGAATGCATGTGCATGTGTTAGTGTGGAGAACCTGTCTCAACTCACATTGAGGACATGATCACTGAGAACAAGAGATGGAGAAGAGCTTGGTCCTGGGATAAGGGGAAACTGCTGTTGCAGAAAAGACAACTGTAAAGACACCATCAAAATATTATAAACTACGATTACCCTCCTGGGAGAATCTACAAAATGTATATTTTGTACAAGGCAACTCACCCTGTAGACTGTGGGAGGAAAAAAACCATGCCTACAGTACCCTAAGGAAGTTCCCTTGCTTGCATAAAACAGCCCTAGGATAGACCAAAAAGAAAGGCCTAACATCTTTGATGAAGAATAATTCAGTCTGAAGGAGAATGACAGTCTTTAAATCTGCACCTCTGTATCCCACCCCACATTTTCCAGCCTTACTCCAGGTAGCTACTCCTCTACCCTAGGTGCATCGGGGCACCTAGAAAGTCACTGCTGCCAATTTCAATGCTGCTATGCACTACCCTCTGTAGTGGCAAGAAAACAGAACTTGGAGTGGTAGAGCTTCAGCACAAATCTTCACAACATGGACGTTCACAAGGAATGAAGGCTTAAGCTAGTACCTTACCTCGCTGAATTTTAGTTGCCTCACCTGAGAAAAGAAGAGGTTTCTAGGAGAATTAAGTTAGACAACGTAAGTAAGCCAATACACCTACCTGCTCAATGAATGGTATCAACTATTGTACTATTGGCAATTGCTATTTCTTTGCTGATTCTGAAGTTTCCTAAAAGTTTAAGTGCTGCACTGTCTGAAGGAGATGAAGAGAGGTAATAAAGATGGCAAGGCCTCTCCATGCTCTTTCATTCTCTGATAATTTCTGGTTCCAAAGAATCCAGAGCTCCATAACCCACTTTAGTCCAAAGAAGCAGGCCAGAGAGACAGGAATGGAATGATGCACACTTAGAAACTGCCTGGGGCCAGTGTGCAAGCCCTCCCTTCTCTGCTGCAGAGACCCGGGCTTTACTCAGCTCCACAGGATGCCTCCATTTGCTGCCAACTCATGGCTTTGCTGTCAGGTGAAGCCAAGGCACATCCAAAATGAGAATGTTACTTACCACCTACTTGGCTTTCATCCAAATGTCTAGGCTTGTCTAGGGCATAAATCCAGGAAGCAGCCCTGGAGAGATGTCGGGTACTTTAAGATGACACTAAAGCCTGTGGCATGGACAGAGTAGAGGAGGCAGGAGAAGATGAAGCAGTGATGATGGTTGCTGTCTCCTCGACAGATTAAGGTGAGAGAAAGTGCCAGACTGGAATTCAGAAAATGAGTTAGTTCACCAGCCTTTCCATTTACTGGATGATTCAAATTTCTTGAGCCTCAATTTTTTCATCTACAACATGGGTTGACGAAGCTACATCTCTATAATTCCTTCTACTTCTAAAAATCTGTCTTAGGAAAAAAACGAGATTTTTAAAAACAAAAGAATAAGCCAGTTTATAAATAATTATGTAGACCCCACAGGATTCTCTGTGCTGTATTAGAGTGTTTAATTTAAAAGAAATATTGCCTTGGTCCTCAGTTTATGATTTTGACCTGACATTAAGGGCTGATTAGGTAGCCTATGGCAATATACAGTGATGATAAATTAGAATGTGTCCTGCACTAGGAATCGAAAGACCTGACTCAGAATCCTGGATCGATCCCTCCCCTGAGCTGTGCAACCTCTGGCAAATCACCTAACCTCTCTAAGCATCATATCCCTTTTTGCCTACTGTACAGAGGTTTGGCAGTCATAAAATCAATCATCAAAGTGAATGCATTTTGTATTCTGTAAAGCTGTAAACTAACACAAGACTTCATAAACACCATTACCATTATTTCCATTGTGGCCTACTTACCACAGCACTCTACAATGTTTTCACCAAGTTTGGATGATAAAATACCCCCAGCATCCTCCCATTTGAACTAAACTCTGACATAGTAGGCAAAGCTCTGTCTATCTCAGCCTTGTCTAGACATGGCTTATAGACAAGACACAATGATGGGGAAAGAGTGGCAGCCACTATCTAGGGACTAGGAGGCTGCTGAGATGGCAGAGGAATCAGCAGAGCTCCCAGTTGATTTGGTCCGTCTTTGGAGGTGTTCTGTGGCTCAGGTCTCTCAAAAGGTTCTGGTCTTCATAATATTTACACAAAGAAATCAAAGTAATTTGGTTAATGGGCACCAAAAGTACTGTTGCAAAAGTGGTGGAGTCACCAAACAGCAAAATAAAAAAATTTGCCCTATATTTTCCTATTGTGAGCCAAGATGCTAAGATGAAATTCAGAAGCTGAAGAAGTCTTCATGGAATGCTGAAGGTCAGTAGCCCTGTAGTGACAATCTTACGAGGCTGTGTAAGTCATCTGGAGGGTGGCTCAGGGACCTTTGCTACGGTACACAAGGCAGGCATATTCTCCCTGGTAACTGGATTCCATTAGCTAATCTTGCTCCCTTCACAGTGGGACTGGATGTTGGGCATGCCTAGTCAATCAAGTAGCTCATAAGTGTGGTTGTGGTGCCGGATAGCTCACCCAGGTCAAAGGCATGATCCAAAACCAAGTCTACACATACACTAAATCCACAAGCCAGGAAGCTGGTATAAGCCATGTCCCTAAAGCCAAGAGGGAAATTCAACAACTAGCTGAGTACAATGCACAAGCAGAATTTAAGAGCCAAGAAGATAATCCAGGAGTTTAGTTGCTAAAACAATAGTATGTTCAAAGCCAGTTGAGGCCGATGCCTGGTTGAAAAGTTTGGGTCATCATGGGCAGTGAAGCTCTCCTAGGAAGACCAGCCAAGAGAGTAGGAGGAGTCATTTTGAAGTTGCCGTGTGTTTAGCTGTCCCAAGCTGTCATTTAGCCTTTACATTAGATTCATGAGTGAAGACAATACTAGAGTAAAGACACCAGCAAGGAATGTTACAACACAACCAGCTCCATCTTCTTCTCTTCTACCACCTAAACCTACTACTCCTAGACTGGAAGGAAATGTGTGAAAACATTTTCAGATGGAATGGATATGATTCTATTTTGTCCCTTCTAAAATGTTACCTTTTGGATATATGTTATTTTTATAGCCAATAAAATATAGAGTATACTATAAAAACAGAAAAAGAGGAACATTTACCATTCCTTATCTTAGTCATTAAGGTCTGCTGCCACTGCTAAATACACTACGGTAGATATTTCTAGAAAGTGTTATGGGCAGTACTGATGTACCCAATTCCAGTGTCACACATCTCTTTTAACAAAAAAATACAGTCCCTTGTTTCCCAATAGTGGTGACTCAGGCTACTGTGGATGGCTAGCAGGACTGCTATTCTTAAATAAGCAGGATGTTTGGCTTTCCTCAAATTATACCCATGGGCGGTCATCTCCTTTTGTTACATGTACACCTTCTTTTGGGTCACTGGAGTATCTCTGACATTGTAGACTGAGGAAGAAGGAGGAAAAAAAGAAATAAAGGGCATAATATCAGCACACACACAATCCAATGAGGCATCCGCAGTATAAATATCTCCACTGAGAGAATGCATCTCTAACTGACTAAAGCAAAGATTGGGAGAAAGTGGAGAAGAACCCGAAAAAGCCATTCTTTTGTTTGGCAGCTTTGATTAACTCTACCCATATAATCAATTCCTCTAGAATACTTGTTTTGAAAACAGGACTGTGTTCCAATGTGAAAACTGAACCTAGCTAAACACAGCAAAGGAATACACAAAACACACACACACAGGCACACATGCACATCTCAATAGCAATCAGCTACCTCAGTTCACTGCTTCTGTTATGAGCCACACCCATCGACATCTGGTATTCCAATTTCCCATCTGATTTCAGCTGACCCTCCTTCCAGCTTTTCAGTTATTCACAAGCATCCACCTTCTGATGCCCACTGTCATAGGCAAACCTCATATCATTTTCAAGACAAAGTGCCCTATTTATTTTTTTATTTGTCTATGTCTCTACTGTTTAACTGTGTATAAAACTGTGCTACAATTTTTATTCATTATTCTCTGTTTTTTATGTGTCACTGATAAAGCTCTTAATTGTTTTACTTCTAACCCCATTTTTCTGCACAAGCCCTATGGTTTTTCTTGTGTGATTTTGATCAGCACACCGATTTTTAGAACACCTAATGTGACACACATTAAAGAGCTGACTATACAAAGTTCTGCTCTTGGCATAGTGAAAAAAATCAGGTATAACCCAGGCAGTGTGTCCATGCAATAACTCCTTTCCAGAATTTTAGGGGAAATTTATGCTTTTCTAAATCTGAAACCTCAAGGAAAATTAGTTTAGAGACTGGGAAAATGGGAGAAAGCATAATCCTCCGGTGAGAATTAAAGTTTAACAATTAATATGAAGACATTACTGGCTCTATAAGCCTCATGGTAACCACAAAGCAAAAACCTTTAATAGATATGCTAAAAATAAAAAGCAGTGAATTAAAACACACTACTAGAGAAAATCACTCAGCCACAAAGGAAGGCAGTAAGAAAGGAAGAGAAGAGTTAAACAACTAGTAAACAAGAAACAAAATGGCAATAGTAAGGCCTTACCTATCAATAATAACATTGAATGTAAATGGACTAAATTCTTCAATTAAAAGACATAGAGTAGCTGAATTAAAAAACAAGACTCAACTATATGCTGCCTTCACCTATAAACACATACATAGATTAAAAGTGAAGAAATGGAAAAAGTTATTCCACAAAAATGGACATCAGAAAAGATCAGGAGCAGCTATACTTAGATAAAATAGATGTTAAGTCAGAACTATACAAAGACAAAGAAGGTAACTGTATAGTAATAAACGGGTCAATTCCACAATAAGATGTAACAATAATAAATATATATATGCACCCAATACCAGAGCACTCGAATATACAAAACAAATATTAATAGGTCTAAAGAGAGAAATATGATGGAAAACATTAATAGTAGAGAACTTCAACACTGTACTTTTGGCAATAGACAGATCATCCAGGTAAAAAAATCAAGGAAGAAACATTGTAGTTAAACTATACTCTACATCAAATGGAACTAACAAACATTTACAGAAAATTTCATTCAACTGCCGCAGAATACACATTTCTCTCATTAGTACACAGAACATTCTCCACATAGGCCATATGTTAGGTCACAAAACAAGTCTCACAAATTCAAAAAAGTAGAAATTATATCAAACTTTTTTATTAAAATGGAATAAAACCAGAAATTAATAACAGGAGGAAAATTAAACAACGTGCTTCTGAACAAACAATGGGTCAGTGAAGAAATTAGGAAGAAAATCTAAAAATTTGTTAAAACAAGTAAAAATGGAAACACAACATACCAGAACCTATGGGATAAATACAAGCAGTACTAAGATGGAAGTTTATAGCAATAAACACTTACATAAAATAAATAAACACCCCAAACAAACAACCTAATGATACACCTCAAGGAACTAGGAAAGCAAGAGCAAACCAAACCCAAAATTAGAACAAGGAAAGAAATAATAAAAAGCAGAGCAGAAATGAACTCAATTGAGATGAAAAAAAATTGGAACAACAAAACAAAAAGTTGGTTTAGCTAGACTAAGAAAATCTTTAGCTAGACTAAGAAAAGAAGAAAAGAGACCCAAATAAATAGACACAAAAAAGGAAACATTAAAACTGACACCATAAAAATACAAAGAATCATTAGGGACTACTAGAAACAACTATACATCAACAAATTAGAAAACCTAGAAGAAATGAACAAATTCCTGGAAACACCCAATCTACCAAGATTGAAACATGAAGAAATAGGAAACTTGAACAGACCAATAACGAGTAATGGGATTAAAGAAGTTAGACATTATTGGCTCTAAGGAACCCACTAACTTCAGGTGGAAAACAAAACCAGGAAATTCTCACACATGATATCAAAAGCCAATGTCAGCATTTGTAGGAACCAGAAGAGAAATGCACAGGAGAGAAGAGGTCAAGTTCCAATCTGTTGGTCTTGCATGTAGCTATTGACCATGTTGTTGGGATGTATGTGCAGCCGATCTAGCTGCTAATGGTGAGTCATGCTCACATTAAAATAAAGATTAACAAGTTTATATGAAGAGTATTATATGACTACTATGAGTGGTTTTTAGAGAAATAAATTTTCAAAGAAAAATAAGTTCTTAATCGGCAATTCTGATACCTGATTCTCTGTAACACTATTTACCTTGCTGAGAGATACAAACATTATATTATTTGAATACTGCTCAGTGATGTTGCTGGTGTTTTCCAGTGTTCAAATATTCATTATAGGCTTCATTTTTTGGTAAATGCTACTAAAATATTATTATTTTTTTTTTTTTCTGAGACGGAGCCTCTACTGTCACCCAGGCTGGAGTTCAGTGGCGCGATCTCCGCTCACTGCAACCTCTGCCTCCCGGGTTCAAGGGATTATCCAGTCTCAGCCTCCCGAGTAGCTGGGATTACAGGTGCCCGCCACCACGCCCAGCTAATTTTTTGTATTTTTAGTAGAGACGGGGTTTCACTATGTTGGCCATGCTCGTCTTGAACTCCTGACCTCATGATCTGCCTGCCTCGGCCTCCCAAAGTGCTGGGATTACAGGCATGAGCCACCGCACCCAGCCAATATTACTTATTTTTTAAGCTGTCCATTACATATCTTTTAACAATAAGTAAAGAGTATAAAGAATGTTGGATATATTTTTTAAATAACTTATGATGTGGGGCATCCCTGAAAATGCCAAAGAATTGCAATTTCTCATTTCCAAAGATTAGTATCTTTCTGGGGCCAGGCACGGTGGCTGACATCTGTAATCCCAGCACCTTGGAAGGCCGAGTTGGGTGGATCACTCTGAGGACACAAGTTTGAGACCAGCTTGGCCAACATGGCAAAACCCCATCTTTACTAAAAATACAAAAAAAAAAAAAAAAATTAGCTGGGCGTGGTGGCAGGTACCTATAATCCCAGCTACTTGGGAGGCTGAGGCAGCAGAATCACTTGAACCAGGAAGGCGGAGGCTGCAGTGAGCCAAGATCATGCCATTGTGCTCCAACCTGGGCAACAAGAGAGAAACTCCGTGTCAAATATACCTATGTATTTATTTCTGGAATTTGGAAATGCTAAATACAGGCATGGTCCTTGGCCAAAATACAGCTCAACTTCTAAGGAACCTCAATGGCATGTTCCTCAAAGGTATATTATAGGCTTGCAATTTGGGATCCAAAGTCCCTGGAACAATATACTATATCCCACAACTGTTCTCATTTCTCTCTTGACCAGTTAGAGTTAGAATTCAGAACCAGCTTATTAATATTTTTTTAAACTCAGGCTTCAGACTTAGACACCATTACAATATGCACATGTGTGCACATATAAACACACACGCCGAAGAGACCACAGTTATAAAAATCTCCTTGGTCTTTTAAAAAAGCAGCCTCCCTTGGCCCAGAAGTCCCAGTCACTATTCGAATGATGGATAGAGGTTTCCATTTCTCACTCAGTCAGCCAGCTCTTTGTCTGCACCCCTTAATTTCAGAAGAAGCAGGAATTCCTCAGCAAAGCCCTTTCGAGGTTCACAAAGGCACAGCTGCCATAAATCAAACATTGGTGACATTGGTGAAGTCAAGGAATAGTGCTGCAAGTAACATTTTCCTCGACCTTGCTGAGAGAAAGTCAAGTCTTGAGTTTAATGAAATGAAATATCTTTATTGTGAACATGAATAAGCCTGCCAGAGTAGTTCTCTTTTGAAGTGACTTAACTGGTCTGTGAAGAGATTTAAGCCCAGTCTCCCAAATCCAAAGGCAGAAGCAGCCTTCATCACCCACCTGGAGGTATAGCCAAGGGAAGGCTGTTTTCTAAGCCCAGAGCTCTGTGCAAAGCTAACTAAAGCTGGGACATCTTGAAGGCATTGAAAGAAAATGAAGCAAACAAATGAACAGTGAATCCAAGAAGAACCAAACTCACCTGTCTCCTGGCCAGTATTTTCTCTCCACGGGCAAAGTAAAAACCCATCATTAGTAATAGACAAAGAAAAGGATGGCATGGTCTGCACTCTGGATTCAAAAATTGACTTTTTAAACCTGCAGACGAATTAAGTTATGAGTGGATGAAAAGATGTTACAGTTATTCATACAGTGGAGAGATTTTTCAAAATACTCTGGTAGAGTCAGAAAGCCCACTGAATTTAATTTGAATTCTAAAACTTTTATTAAAGATACAAGTGTGTTTTTGTTTTTAAACCAAGAGATAATTTTGTCCCTGTGTTATTAAGGATTAATGTAACTCAAAGGCAGACGTGACTTCTATAAAATGAATTTTATTTTTTTCCTCCCTTTCTTCTAGCTATCTGGAAAACAGTAAAACAATTAGGGAAAGAACAAAGAACTTCTCTATGTCTTTAGTTACCCTTGCTGAAGAAACGAGTCCCATATTCTCAATGCTCAATCCTTCTAAGGTTTACTGGGCAGGTCCTAACGGTTTTACTGGGCTTGTAAAATAAACATTTCTGAAGTTGAAATAGTTCACCTTGAGAAAACTTGTTCCAAGTTTTTATCCCCTCTTTTGGATATGGTCCTGACCTATGAACCTGATACAATGAGTTCCAGGTGTTGAACTCTGTGTGGGAAGGAGGTCCTGTCTGCCCTTAACTTTTCATAAAGAGTCCCTGCCCAGATAAATGATTCTCATTGACTTTTACAGATGATTTTTCTCTGGGCTCTCTTTCAACACCTAACTTATACTTAACGTCTTTATCTTCATACACACCCGAGAGAGAGAGAGAGAGAGAGAGATTCAATAATACAGATAATTTCACACTTTATAATTTTTTTTTTGAGATGGAGTCTTGCTCTGTCGCCCAGGCTGGAGTGCAGTGGTGCGATCTCGCCTCAATGCAAGCTCCACCTCCTGGGTTCATACCTTTCTCCTGCCTCAGCCTCCTGAGTAGCTGGGACTACAGGCTCCTGCCACCACGCCTGGCTAATTTTTTTGTTGTTTTTTTTTTTTTGGTAGAGACATCGTTTCACCGTGTTAGCCAGGATGATCTCAACCTCCTGACCTCGTGATCCGCCCACCTTGGCCTCCCAAAGTGCTGGGATTACAGGCATGAGCTGCCACACCCGGCCCACACTTTATAATTTTTATACAAAACATTCCATAATTAAAACGGTATTTATATAATACTTCTAAATTGATAGAGCCATTACAAAGATTTATGGTAGAAAACAAGAGATGGACTCCAACAATTCAGAATTGTCCCCAAACTCTATTGCCTGCCACAGAACATAATCCATGTTTAAAACAAAAAAAAACACCAAAAAATGGCTGACTTACATGAGAACCTATGGATAAAAGCAAGATTATGTGAGATAAAGAGTAGGACGGATAAAGAGTCTGAGTTGCAGTCGCAATGCTCTACAAGCATCTGTATGAATTTAGGAAATAAATCAATCTCTCTGGCGCCAGTATTTCAACTGCAAATGGTAGATTGCAGTGAATGTATCCTAAAGTTCCTTTGTAACCCTGATATTTTATAACTGCATTTATTTCTTAACAAGTTAGCATGTCTTAAATTGGGAGGCTTTCCAACAAATGCACCTTAAAATTGCTGTTGACCAGGTGGCCATCATATAGTTGTCATTGACTAAAAACTTGGTTAAACAACAACTTGGTGTGTAGTAGCTTGGTTGTTATGCTTGAGAATAAGAAAAGACAGCTGTAAGCTTTCAACATTTTAGTTACAAATTATTTGAAGACCATTAGAAGAAGGAATAGGAGAGTTGGTTGTAACTTCTATTGGCAATTTCTGGTAAGATCAAGAGAGCACCAGAAACAAATCTCATAAAATGGGTTTAGAAAAAAATCCTGGAGACAATAGTGGTACACTCATAAGAAACATTGTGACACAAAATACTTGATGACAGCCAGCCACATTCTGGAGGATAACGCAATCATTGACAGCCTGTTGCAAAGTAATTCAAAAGAGCCTACCTCTAAACGTGAAGAAATCT
Organism: Homo sapiens; assembly: GCF_000001405.40. Lineage (NCBI taxonomy): Eukaryota > Metazoa > Chordata > Mammalia > Primates > Hominidae > Homo > Homo sapiens. The sequence continues at coordinate 77,573 of NW_003315928.1, read as the reverse complement.
TAGAAATTCACAAACCAATTTATATTTTTCTTTTTTTCAGATAATATGAGTGATAAATGATAAAACATATGTGTTAATCTAAAAGACCTCTTGCATTAAACATAATATTATGTATTATGTTTAATACATATTACTGTACATAATATGTAAAGTATAACATACCTGTTGGTCTTGATAGGTATCATGTAATATTTATAAGTAATGAGAAAGCATTGTCATAGTTGCATCAACAACTTTTTTTCATCTGCATATGTAAATTAAAAGTGCATCTTAAATCTCTGACATCTCAGAAGAGGTAAAATATAGCATGCATAAGCTAGATATTGGAGGATCCTTATAGCAACTTCTGTTTTTTGCCCAGCATCAACCATGAAGAAGTCATCAACTTTTCTTGGAATTCCTAAAATCTTTTTGTACCAAAGTGTTATGGGGCAATACTGATTGCACTAAAGACTTCCAAAGATATATGGAGAAGGAATATTACATCATTAGTTGTATACTCTGTTCCCAGGCAAAAATAAAATCCCCATTGGACCAATTCTCCTCGCCTTTCTCAGGTCTCCTCTTCTTGCACTGAATTTGACTCATCTTCTTTCTTCTACCCATGTTTTAAAACTCGTTTCCTTCTTCTGGTTGTTGGGGACCTGTGTATCATTAGGGTTTGCGTGTACTCCTAGAGTACGCTTACCAATGCTTCCTTTTGACATCTTCAATCTTTCCCTAGGAAGGAATTTTTATACTACCGCTAAAAAGATAAAAATTTCTTCATGTTACCTGTGATTTATTTTCCCTCCCAATTGGCAATATTTGCTGCAGAAAAAGAAAAAGATGAAAACCTCAGTCAGCAATTTAAGGCACAGATCTGTGTTTGGAAACTTGTAATTCTCTACTCATGGACCTTACCACAATTTCCCAAATCATAAAATTGTGAACTACTGCAAGAGAAAATACACCTAGACCAAAGGAAAGAATGACACATCTGATGTCTACTGTAATAAAAAGTAATATTTAACAATAAAACACACAACTGTGTGATTTATTAAATGGAGGCCCTTCTGGAAATTTTTAACTCTAGAGCAAAGGACTTGACTGTACATTTTGCTTTAGGGTTTGGACTTAGTTCACAAAAATTGAATATGGCTGCTAAACCCTTTGAAAGGTTTTTGTTTGTCTATTTATTTTTTCTCTTGCATTAAGCCTGTGGGACTGGACACAGAGAGTGAAAGTAGGTTGTTTGCTTGGCCAGCATCCATATTCCCTTCCTGCAGCAATAGTACCTTGATTTCCTTTTGTGGATTTCACCTTTTCCCTCACATTCTGCCAATGTTGTTTTGAAAGAAATTGACAAAGGTAAATCCTGATTGACCTGAGTCAATTTGCATAGCTAGCCCCTTGGCCACAGGGATTATTAGATTAGCACGTATCCCAGTCAGACTCAATGAGACCTTTGCTGCACCTTCTGGAAGAAAAGAAACCCTCTCTTTTCCTCTGGCCTTAGCAGATTGAGGGAGTAAAAATCTCACTTCTCACATTGCTTTAGCCACCTCAATGCTATGAGCGGGAGCCAGACTGCGGATAAAGGCCACCCCCAGACGATGGTGAGCTGATAGATGTCTGTTGTCTACATTGTTTGCACCCTGAATCAAGCCACTCCTAAAGCTAGCCTTCCCCAGAGTTTTCAGTTACATAATCCAAGAAGTTTATTTTTTGCTTAAATCACTTTGTGTTTCTTTCGCTTGTAATATAAAGAGTCCCAGACAACATAGTGTACGTTTATAGCATCTAAAATAAGAATTCATTCCATATTTATTTTCTCACTCATTTTTAAAGCATTTACAGAGTACCTATTATGTGCCAGGCATTAGAAATAGAATAATGAATACTCTCCAGACCCTGACCCTCCAATAGGACAAGCTAGAGGTATAAGCATATGATACAATGTAATATGGATGAGGTGGAAGGCACTATCAGAAGACACAGGATGAAGCGACTAATTCAGCCTATGAGCGCCAACAAAAAACGTTAGCAGGTGAGGAAGGGACATTCTAAGAGAAGTAAATAGCTTGTGCAAAGGTCCAGGAACTGGCATGGCTCTTCTGGGAAACCACTGAGAGTCTGTTGTGTTTTGCACATGGGTTCCTGAGCTAAGGGCAGAGGGATGTGACTGGAAAGGTAAAATCCTTTATCAATTTTAAAGGACTTTGTACATCTGGTCATCAGTGACTTATGCACAAAGGGATGTCACTGTCAAGACCTGAACCAATAAAAAGATGCAGACATCTTCAAGTGGCAACATGAGTGCGTTTTCCTTGTCTAATCACCTGAAGCTGCCTGACTCAAGCCAGAGTTGCTCTCCTAACTAGGCCTCACTCTCCTCCCCCACCTCTGCTACAAAGAAGAATTGTAAGGCTGATGCTGACAGCCTCCTGTGCTATTGTGCATTTCAGATATTCATCTGTGCTCTGGAAAATGGCTTGAAATTCTCCATGGAGAGTGCAGACAGAAAGGTCAACAATTATGCAAAATGAGTAATAGGCTTGGAGCAATCAGGCCACACAGCTGTTGCAATGAATTCTCGGAAACCCGCCTGCCAGGTGTCTGTGTCTCTGCCCAATGGCCCTGGCCAGGCATCCAAAGCCAAGCCCTTAGTTAACTAGTATTCCTAGACAGCTAGGGGAGATTCTGAATGAAAGCAGAGAAAATCAGAAAAGCCACAGCTCTGTGTACAGGAAAAAAAAAAAAAAAAGTCTTCTTGAGGCTCCACTAAAGGCATCAGTGAATAATCTGTTCTCAGAGGTAAGAGGTTAAACAAGGAGCCAAGAGTTAAAAACTCCAACCTGGGGCCAGCCACACTTCAATGCATAGCCATGAAAATGCCTGAAGTGACCTTCTGTTCTGGGAGAACATCATATAGCCTCCACTTTTTCTGGAGAGGGAATATCAATCCAGCAGGAAAACATTGCTGAGAATCTCCTATGTAAAAGGTGCTAGGGAATGCAGAGACAAATCACACCTTAGGGTCCAGGAAAGAACAGGCAATCAGCCAATGTGTGCCAAATGTAGGTTAGCGAAGCCAACTGCTTTGATAAAAGAGGAAGGGAGTTTCCACATACGGAAAGCATGGCATCTGTTCAAATAAATGGCTGTTCCACAGGTAGGTGGCATCCTCACTGATAAGGAAACTGAGGACCAGAAAAGTGATCCAAGGTAGGGAGAAGAGAGATTGGAAGTAAGTCCAGCCCAATTCCAACATGACACCATTTCCCACTTTTCCAAGGATGGCAGAAAGCAAGAAAACTCTTTCGTAGGTAAACCTCAGCTTTTGAACTAGGATTTATAGAGTTTTACCAAAGCCAGGGTACAAGAAAAGGCACATCTTTCTATAATGTCACTGTCTTAGTCAGCTCATGCTGCCATAATGAAAGGCCATGAACAAAGTGGCTTATTTTTCACAGTTCTGGAGACTGGGAAGACTAAGATCAAGGCACTGGCCAACTGGGTTATTGGTGAGGGCTGTCTTCCTGGTTTGCAGACAGCCACCTTCTCATTCTGCTTCACATGTCTTTCTTTAGTGCATGCACTCAGGGAGAGGGAGAGAGAGAAAGCTCTCTTCCTTCCTCTTCTTATAAGGCCACCAATCTTATTGGATTAGGACTCTACTTTTATGACCTCCTTTAACCTTAATTATCTCCAAAAAGTCTTACCTCCAAATACACTTACTTTGGGGATTAAGACTTTAACGTATGAATTTGGTGGGGGAGAGGGACACAATTCAATCCATAGAAGTCACTTTTACTTGAAAAATTGGGAGGTGGAGAAATTGTTTTTTAAACCAAAAGAAACTCAATTCTCTATGGCTTATAATATAAATTGCTAAAATGTTTTAAGAGGAAAAAGTGGGTCTTCTGGTTATACCATGAGAGTTTTGAGGGCTTACCTTTAAGAATGCTGTGACAATTTTTGAGAGGTCTCAATAGAGGGGAATAGAGGGAGAAACACCTGGAAAGATAGGATGGAGCGAGTAGGTGGAGGGTCTTGAATCCCAGATGGCATGAATCCCTGAATGCTGATGAGGCTGACCATTTTCTGTTAGTCACTCCAGTCTCATTCTCCACCTTCTCCCCTGTTCTGAGCTCAGGACTCTTGCAGGCTTCCTGCTCTCTAACTTCCCCTTGGGTTCCCAGCAGGGGAAAAGTGGGCAGGGGAGAATGAGGTCAGAGAATTTACCCCATCCCTCATTGCTGGGCCCCTGCAGATCATCTCCTTTACTGAAGGCTGTTTCTATACAGCTACTCTCTCTGGGTTATAGTCTTCCGGTCATTATTTCTTCCTTTTGTCCCTTCAATCCCAGAAGTAGTAATGGCTTCACAGTGCTCCTATACCTAGGGTACGGCATCACTTCCTAGCAGTCTTCAAAAATCCTATCCATACTCTTGCAAACAGTCCATTCAGGGATAGCTTCATAGGAGTATGACTCACACAGTCTCACAGAGTTCCAAGCTTAGAAGTGCCTACACTTGCTTTAATACTTGAGATTATTAATAATTTTTGAACAAAGGCCCCCATTTTATTTTTATTACTTTTATTTTTTGAGATGGGGCTTCACTCTGTTGCCTAGGCTGGAGTGCAGTGGCACGACTGCAGCTCACTGCAGCCTCAACCTTCCCAGGCTCAGGCGATCCTCCCACCTCAGCCTCCCAAGCAGCTGGGACTACAGATGTGCACCACCACACCTAGGTAATTTTTGTAGAAATGGAGGCTTGCCAGTCTTGCCTAGGCTGGTCTCAAACTTCTAGGCTCAAGCGATCTGCCTGCGTTGGCCTCCCAAAGTGCTAGGATTATAGGTGAGAGCCACTGTTCCCGGCCTGGCCCCCCGTTTTTATTTTGCACTGGGCCCCACAAACTAAATAGCTGCTCCTGAACCCTTTATTAAACCCTCTGCAAGCACTGCATTCAAGTATGCCGTCTGTTTTTTTGCCAGAACCCTGGCCCCTAAGCCTCCTACACAGAGAGGAGGACACCCCTGGGCTAGCTGATTTGCTCAGTAGGAGGCAAGACTTTTCCCCCAAAACAAAGGAGGCCTTGGGAAAAGACACAGGTGTTCTAACTGGGCTAGTTTACTCCTGAAGCTGAAACTGAAATCAAGACCATGGGGCTGGGCACAGTGGCTCATGCCTATAATCCCAGCACTTTGAGGGGGCTGAGGAAGGTGGATCACTTGAGCCCAAGAGTTCAGGACCAGCCTGGGCAACATGGCGAAATCCCATCTCTTAAAAAAAACTACGAAAATTCGCTGGGCATGGTGGCGCTTACTTACAGTCCCAGCTACTCTAGAGGCTGAGGTGGGAGGGTCATTTGAACCTGGGAGATAGAGGCTGCAGTGAGTTTTGATCACGTCACTGTACTCCAGCCTGGGCAACAAAGCAAGACCCTGTCTCAGAAAATAAAAATAAAAATATCATGGAAGGCAGCAAGCTGAGGCTGAGGCCTGCTGGGTTCAGGACTATGGAGATGATAAAGGTTCAAGTCCTGGCAACACAGCATTTTAGCTCATAACACTTGGACCTCAATCACCGTTTCTGAAACCTCGGCTTTGCCATCTGGATAATACCGGACCTAACTCGATGAACAGTTGTCCACCAAAAAAACTGTAGGTGTATTAATCTCTGGTACATGACAGAATGTGCAATAAATATTTGTTAAATACATAGTTTGAGTTTATATTTAAACTCAAAACAGACTGTGAACTAGGAAGAAGGAATATGGAAGAAAAACAATAATCCAACCATCAACTCTTTTTTTCCCAGTGATACGTGGAAATCAAGGATTCTCTCTGCTGGAGAGTCAGATGGAAGCCGAAGGTCCAGAGCGCTATGGTAGGCACTCCAGATTCCAAAACCCGTGCCTCTGAGCAAGCTATCCCAGGGACAGTAGGGTCATTTGTAAAAAAAAACACAGCAGGGTAATGACTCCAAAAAGTAAGATACTCCTTTCCTATTCCCCACTTGGTGAGAACTGAGTGGCACCATGACCAAATTGCTCAGCTGCATCTGGATCATAAGTAAGGACATATTAATTAATTGTGGACCAGTTCTGCACTGATCCTGCCCACCCTTCCCCAATGGCATAAGAGCACTTTGGCCTCTGTAAGTCACTGGGTCATGCTTTCTCAGCACTTAATAATACACTTATTGGGTACCTACTGTGTACTGGCACTGTGTTAGGGACTTTCATTGTATTGCCTAGACTGATGGTCTGCAAAACTTTTCTTAAAGAGCTGATAGTAAATATTTTACGCTTTGCAAGCCGGATGGTCTCTACAATCAAACTCATATTTATTAACAAATATTTATTGCACATCCTGACAACTCTGGCACTGTAGTCTAAAAGCACCCACAGTCAACATCTAAATGAATAGGCATCTCTATGTTCCTAAAAAACCTTATATACAAAAACAGGTGGCTACTGTAATTTACCAACCCCTAGTCTAGAGCAGTAGGCTCTCCAACTTGCGACTATGTCGGAATCCACTGGGTGGCTTGTTGAAGCACAGACTGCTGGGTCGGACCCTCAGAGTTTCTGATTCAGGAGGTCTGGTGTCAGGCAGAAAATTTGCATTTCTAATAACTTCTCAGGTGATGCTGCTGCTGCTGCTGCAGCTACTGCTCCCACACTTTGAGAACCACTGGCCTAGAAAGTGTAGCCCTTTTTTTTTTTTTTTTTTTTTTAGGTTTTTGGGATGCATGTGCCGGACATGCAGGTTTGTTACATAGGTATATGCGTGCCATGGTGGTTTGCTGCACCTAATGACTTATCACCTAGGTATTAAGCCCAGCATGAACTATTTTTCCTAATGCTCTCCTTCCTCCCACCCTACCCTCCAACAGGCTTCAGTGTGTGTTGTTCCCCTGTGTCCATGCATTCTCACTGTTCAGCTATCACTTATGAGTGAGAACATGAGGTGTTTGGTTTTCTCTTTCTGCATTAGTTTGCTAAAGATAATGGCTTCCAGCTCCATCCATGTCCCTGCAAAGACATCACTTCTTTCCTCTTTATGGCTACATAGTATCCATAGTGTAAATGTACCATATTTTCTATATCCAGTCTATCATTAATAGGCATTTTGGTTGATTCCATGTCTTTGCTATTGTGAATAGTGCTGCAATGAACATGCATGTGCATGTATCTTTATAATAGAATGATTTAAATTCCTTTGGGTATATACCCAGTAATGGGATTGCTGGGTCAAAGGGTATTTCTGGTTCTAGATCATTGAGGAATCGCCACGCTGTCTTCCACAATGGTTGAACTAATTTACATTCCCACCGAAAGTGTGAAAGCATTCCTATTTCTCCACAGCCTTACCAGCATCTATTGTTTCTTGACTTTTTAAAAATTGCCATTCTGACCAGCATAACACGATATCTCATTGTGGTCTTGATTTGCATTTATCTAATGATCAGTGATGTTGAGTTTTTCATATGTTTGTTGGCTGCATAAATGTCTTCTTTTGAGAAGTGTCTGTACATGTCCTTTGCCCAATTTGTGATGGAGTTGTTTGCTTTTCTCTTGTAAATTTGTTTAAGTTCCTTGTAGATTTTGGATATAAGCCTTTTGTCAGATGGATAGATTGCAAAAATTTTATCCCATTCTGTAGTCTGTCTGTTTACTCTGGTAATAAGTTTCTTTTGCTGTGGAGAAGCTCTTTAGTTTAATTAGCTCCCATTTGCCAATTTTTGCTTTTGTTGCAATTGCTTTTGGTGTTTCTGGCTTGAAATCTTTGCCCATGCCTAAGTCCTGAATGGTATTGCCTAGATTTTTTTCCAGGGTTTTTATAGTTTTGGGTTTTACATTAAGTCTTTAATCCATCTTGAGTTAAACTTTGTATAAGGTATAAGGAAGGGGTCCAGTTTCAATTTTCTGCATATGGCTAGCCAGTTTTCCAGCACTATTTATTAATAGGGAATCCTTGACAGGCACAGTGGCTCATGCCTGGAATCTCAGCACTTTGGGAGGCCAAGGCAGGCAGATTGAGGTCAGGAGTTCAAGAACAGCCTAGACAACATGATGAAGTCCCGTCTCTATTAAAGATATGAAAATTAGCCAGGCATGGTGGTGCACACCTGTAATCCCAGCTACTCAGGAGGCTAAGGCATGAGAATTGCTTGAATCCAGGAGGCAGAGGTTGCAGCTGAGATCACATCACTGCATTCCAGCCTGGGCAACAGAGCAAGATCTCAACTCAAAAAAAAAATAGGGAATCCTTTCCCCATTGCTTGTTTTTCTCAAGTTTGTCAAAGATCAGATAGTTGTAGATGTATGCTCTTATTTCTGAGATCTCTATTTTGTTTCATTGGTCTATGTGTCTGTTTTTGTATGAGTACCATGCTGTTTTGGTTACTGTAGCCTTGTGGTATACTTTGCAGTCAGGTATCAAAATGCCTTCAGCTTTGTTCTTTTTGCTTAGGATTGTCTTGGTTACACAGGCTCTTTTTTGGTTCTGTATGAACTTCATAGTAGTTTTTTCTAATTGTGTGAAGAATGTCACAATTTTAATGGGAATAGCAGTGAATCTATAAATTACTTTGGGCAGTATGGCCATTTTCACAATATTGATTCTTCCTATCCACAGCATGAAATGTTTTTCCATTTGTTTGTGTTGTTTCTTATATTCTTGAGGAGTGGTTTGTAGTTCTCCTTGAAGAAGTCCTTCGCTTCCCTTGTTAGCTGTATTCCTAGGTATTTTATTCTCTTTGCAGCAATTGTGAATGAGAATTCACTCATGATTTGGCTCTCTGCTTGTCTGTTGTTGGTGTAAAGGAAAACTTGTGATTTTTGCACACTGATTTTGTATCCTGAGACTTTGCTGAAGTTGCTTATCAGCTTAAGGAGCTTTGGGGCTGAGATGATGGGGTTTTCTAGAAATAGGATCATGTCATCTGCAGAGACAGTTTGACCTCCTCTCTTCTTATTTGAATACCCCTTATTTCTTTCTCTTTCCTGATTGCCCTGGCCAGAACTTCCAATACTATGTTGAATAGAAGTAGGGAGAGAGGGCAACCTTGTCTTGTGCTGGTTTTCATGGGGAATGCTTCCAGTTTTTGCCCATTCAGTATGATATTGGCTGCGGCTTTGATATAAATGGCTCTTATTGAGATATGTTCCACCAATACCTAGTTTATTGACAGATTTTAACATGAAGGGATGTTGAATTTTATCGAAGGCCTTTTCTGCACTATTGAGATACTCATGTGGTTTTTGTCTTTAGTTCTGTTTCTGCGATTAATTATGTTTATCGATTTGCATATGTTGAACCAGCCTTGCATCTCCGGGATGAAGCCAACTTGATCATGGTGCGTAAGCTTTTTGATGTGCTTCTGGATTCAGTTTGCAGTATTTTATTGAGGATTTTCACATGGATGTTCATCAGAGATATTGGCCTGGAGTTTTCTTTTTTTGTTGTATCTCTGCCAAGTTTTGGTATCAGGATGATGCTGGCCTCATGAAATTAGTTAGGGAGAAGTCCCTCCTTTTCAATTTTTGTTTGGAATAGTTTCAGAAGAAATGGTACCAGCTCCTCTTTGTACCTCTGGTAGAATTCAGCTGTAAATCCATCTCACCTTAGGCTTTTAAGACCACAGCTCTGAAGCTGAGTAGCCTATTTGAATCCTGCCTCTTTCACCTGTTAGCTAAGTCACCTTGGGTAGTTTATGTTTCTTTATATTTCTGAGCCTCATCTGTAGAATTAGATGAATAACACCAATTTCACAGGATGTTCGGAGTTAAATGAGTGAATGCATGTGAAGTCCTTAGACCAGGGCCTGGCACATGATCAGTCCTCAAAAACTATTAGCTCCTGCTAAATGTTAGCTGATATCACCTCATTTTATTCTCCCAACAACCCTGGCCAGTTTATAGATGAGGTAGCCAGGGCACAGGGGGTTAAATGCATTGTCAACAGCACAGAGCTGGTAAAGGGCACACCCAGGGCCCTCTGTACTGTCCTCCCTCCCTAGCACCTGAGTCAAACAGACCTTCCTCATTGCCTCCATGAGACCCAGAAGAATAAAAGCCCACATGGAAGATGGGCCTTGTGAGCTAGGAAGCATTCTGATCTGTGTCCCCAGGGTCTGCTCCTGGAACTCAAGTGCAGTTATGCTCTTCAGACTCTGACACCCTCTCCTGTGCTTCCTCAGGCCACACTGGGACCAAAAAACAAAGGAGCCCTCCATCCATCCTTTGCACCCCATTTTCTGTCAGAAGCCACTGACCTAAATGGAACCACCCTGGGCTAGTTTAGGTCTTCTAACATTTACTGGCAAATGAGTTAGATGTTTTACATATATTATCTCATTTAATCCTCAATATGATTTTATATGGCACATACTCTCATTATGATCATTTAACAAATGAGGAAACTGAGGCATAATGGAAGTTGGCCTAAGCCACGCAGCTAGTGAGCCAGCATGCCAATGCAGAAACACAGATCAGAATGCTTCCAACATTTTTGTTCTTTTTACTTATGTAATCTTGTCTCCTTATATAGTTGAGTAGTAAGAAGACTAAGGAAAGAGAGCATTAGTTATTGTTTAGAGCAAAGAACTTGAAATGTCCAAAATGAAGCTTTCTCTCATAGGCAATTTTGGCTAATTTATCTGAAAAAATATGAATAAGTTTAAGTGAATCCATACCTTTCAGGTAAAGACGTGTTTGTAAATGTACTCTTACCAATATGAAACAGGAAAAAAACTGTGTGAGTTTTGCTCATGCATAGGTGGCTTTTATGAGAAGTGGGGAGAGACTTTTATGAGAAGAAAAGTAGAGCTGGAGTGGCTTTAACCCCTTATCGTTAAGAATGAAAAGGAAGAATAATCAAATGTACGCTGAAAATATAACAGCAAATAAGCTCCGAGGTGACATTTGGGCTATGTAGTTTTCTTCTAGCTGTGTGACAATAAGTGCCTGTTCAGCTGGCTTTTCCCAAAGCCAGAGAAAGGTCTCTTAGCTAAAATGTCACAATGCATCTTATTTTCTATTTTCAGTGTGTGTTCTGAGGGGAGACTGACACTCTGTCTTGCCCTCACTCACCGCTTAGAAAATAACAACAGTACAGCACAAAGAAAGTTAGGAAGGAAGGCGCCACTGTGGAGCTGGCTCGAGCTCTCTGACTTTCATTCCACAGAGGGTGCAAGCTTTGGGTGGAGAAGAGGTGGAAGAGATGAGAGGAGGTTCTGACATAACCTCCAAATGTACACTCCTAAGAAGTCACAACAAAAACATTTAACCTATTTTGCACAATTATGTGATGCTCTGGCAAGTGGTTGTTGGACTTACATTTAGAGATCAGAAAATTTTTATTGGCCAATTTAGTGGTTATTACTAAAGGTCTTCGGTCCAAAGAACAGCTGTCATTTGGTGATCTGGAGGTCTGAGCTCTGCCTCAAAGGAAGTCATGACCCTCCTTCTTTCTAAAACTCCCTGCCCCATTTTGGCTTTCAAGGCCACACATAATCTGTCCCCTGCCTACAATGTCAGCCTCATTCTCACCGCTCATTCTCTATTCTCTTGGTATTCTGCTGCTAGTTTTGTTGTTTCATTATTACCAACAGAGGTCTACACCCATGTGGTCCTTTCTTCCTGGGAGATCCTCTAAACATCCTACACCTTCTTTCCTATAACTTCATCTCCGTAACTCCTACTTTTCCATGACCCTTGTGAATCTGGGCCATGTTGTCCAATCTCAGAAGTATATTTGTGTTCAGAGGAGCATAGTCCAGAACCAAAATGTATTTTCAAAATTACTCAATCTTTTCACCGACACATGAAACCCTGATTCTACTGTCTTCTTCCAATAGAATTATTACAAGGGCCAATCAACTGATCAATCCATGTGCCAGCTGCCATTTTTTATTCCATACTTCCTGCTGTCACAGGAACAATGTTTCTAAACCGTCAGTTTCCTCTGTCCATCTCCATTTCGAATCTTTTCACTCAACTACTCTAGACAAATTACGACCCCAAAACATGCCGTCTCATTTTGCGTTGGTCATTTTCTTGATCTGGATTGCCCATCTACCCTTTTAGCCTGTCCAAACCCTAATAATCTTTCATAACTTAGTTCAAATGCCCACTCTTTGATAAGCATTTCAACAGCCGACCCTGTCACTTTTTCCTCTGTTGTTTCTGCTGTCCTCTCTTATAGGGCTTGCAGTATAATTTACATTACTGTTACTTGTTTATAGATCTGTTTCTTCCACTAGAGGGAGAATTCCTTGAAGTCGAGGGTTTCTTCTTACTTCCTTTTGGGTCCATAGCAAAATGATTTGTACAGTAGGTACTAATTATCTACTTACTGAATTTAAGTTCATATGTCATTTTAATATTTACATCGCATTTTCACATACATTTACTTATTAGTCATCCCAATGGATCTATGAGACATATAATATTATCGCAATTTTAAGAGGAAAAAGTGAAGCTCACAAAGTTAAATGATGAGTCTAAAGTGGTACAGCGTGGAGGTGGCCGATCTAGACTTCAAGCCAGGTCTCCAACTCCCCTTGTAGTTGTGAACGTCTATGATTCCGTAATTCTGTTTCAAATTTTATGCCAGAAAGGAGAGGAAAATGATTATTTCATTATAATATTGCAGAGAAAAAAGACTGGCAAATGCTCTTCCGTTATATGCAAGCTTGTATTATGCCCCATTGGAAATGAACATTATAAACATTAGCTTCAACAATGTAACATAACAGCAGCTTCTTTTATTAGCATTGTTTAAATATTTGGGTAATAAGCAGGAACACCTCATCAAACATATGTTCTCAGTCAAATATATATCCTCTATGCAAATTGTATGGAGTTATCTTTATTAGGTGTTATTTATTCAAAAGGCGGAAGGTGCCAACGTGCAGAAAATAATGAACAGACTGGACTGTGGAAAAATGGCTTAATTATGTAGGTCAAGAGTCCTTAACCAGACAACCAGAAAAAAATCACTTTACAGAAAGCATTGGGGGAGGGGGAACTGGCACAGAGATATGCATATATTATCTCCTGGCATATTAAAATAAGACTTGACTAATGTAAAACCACCTTATACAAAGTCCCCAAAAGAACAGAAATCTTTTCCTGTGGGTTGAGAGTGCCAAAACTGGCACAATGAAGGACATGTTCAAGGAGGAAGAACACGGTTTTGCTAATCTGAAGGTCTTTATTTGAATCTCTCTCATGTCCGTCACTTCCTATCTGGGTGATCCGGGACAAGTTACTTCCTTCTGAGCCTCCTCGTTCTCTTTGTGAAATGGGGATGATAATAATATTGAACTTACCAAATTGTTTATTATTAAGAGTAACTGATAAAAATCTACGTGACGCTTTTTCCTGGGGGCAGCAGCCGGGCTGAGAGGAGAGTGGCTGTCTACTCTCTCCGCCATGGCGTGTGTCCGCCCACTGATGTCGCTGTACTCCGAAAAGGGGGAGTCATCTGGCAAAAATGTCACTTAGCCCGCTGTATTCAAGGCTCCTATTCGACCAGACATCGTGAACTTTGTTCACACCAACTTGCGCAAAAACAACAGACAGCCCTACGCTGCCAGTGAATTAGCAGGTCATCGGACCAGCACTGAGTCTTGGGGTACTGGCAGAGCTGTGGCTCGAATTCCCAGAGTTCGAGGTGGTGGGACTCACCGCTCCGGCCAGGGTGCTTTTGGAAACATGTGTCGTGGAGGCCGAAGGTTTGCACCAACCAAAACCTGGCGCCGTTGGCATCGTAGAGTGAACACAACCCAAAAACGGTATGCCATCTGTTCTGCCCTGGCTGCCTCAGCCCTACCAGCACTGGTCATGTCTAAAGGTCATCGTATTGAGGAAGTTCCTGAACTTCCTTTGGTAGTCGAAGATAAAGTTGAAGGCTACAGGAAGACCAAGGAAGCTGTTTTGCTCCTTAAGAAACTTAAAGCCAGGAACGATATCAAAAAGGTCTATGCCTCTCAGCGAATGAGAGCTGGCAAAGGCAAAATGAGAAACCGTCGCCGTATCCAGCGCAGGGGCCCGTGCATCATCTATAATGAGGATAATGGTATCAAGGCCTTCAGAAACATCCCTGCAATTACTCTGCTTAATGTAAGCAAGCTGACCATTTCGAAGCTTGCTCCTGGTGGGCACGTGGGACGTTTCTGCATTTGGACTGGAAGTGCTTTCCGGAAGTTGGATGAATTGTATGGCACTTGGCGTAAAGCCGCTTCCCTCAAGAGTAACTACAATCTTCCCATGCACAAGATGATTAATACAGATCTTAGCAGAATCTTGAAAAGCCCAGAGATCCAAAGAGCCTTTCGGGCACCAAGCAAGAAGATTCATCGCAGAGTCCTAAAGAAGAACCCACTGAAAAACTTGAGAATCATGTTGAAGCTAAACCCATATGCAAAGACCATGCGCCGGAACACCATTCTTCGCCAGGCCAGGAATCACAAGCTCCGGATGGATAAGGCAGCTGCTGCTGCAGCAGCACTAGAAGCCAAACCAGATGAGAAGGCGGCGGTTGCAGGCAAGAAGCCTGTGGTAGGTAAGAAAGGAAAGAAGGCTGCTGTTGGTGTGAAGAAGCAGAAGAAGCCTCTGGTGGGAAAAAAGGCAGCAGCTACCAAGAAATCAGCCCCTGAAAAGAAGCCTGCAGAAAAGAAACCTACTGTAGAGGAAAAGAAGCCTGCTGCATTAACTCTTAAATTTGATTATTCCATAAAGGTCAAATCATTGTGGACAGCTTCTTTTGAATAAAGACCTGATTATACAGGCAGTGAGAAACAAACAAACAAACAAAAATCTATGTGACAAGAAAACTTGGAACATAGTACGTACTCAATTACTGAATATTATCATTACACTTCCTCCACTGACACATACGTCTCTTCTAAACATGAATTTTTTTGAGAAGCTGTGACTTATAGAAAATTTGGGAGGACGTATTCACCCTCTATTTCTATTCCAGATTTTACAATTCCCTTTCTCAAACACCTGTTTAATTTCATTTTCCTGGTGCCTTAAGAACAAACATCCTAATATCTCTAGCCACTTCTTTTAGATTAGGAACAATGACATTCAAGGTAATCAGAAAGGAGGAGACGGGAGAGGTAAATTCCAAAGGACATAAAGGAAATCTATGTATCAACAGACGGCCTTTCGTTCTTTCCCTCTTCGCAATTCTTTCTGCTCAGCCTAATTTGGATCTAACTGGAGCAGTGTTTCTCAAATGGAGGTGGTGATGTTCCCCCAGCGGGTATTTGGCAATGACTGGAGATATTTTTGGTTGTCCCACTGGTAGGTATAACTCGCATCTAGTAGATGGAGGTCAGGAATGCTGCTAAACATCCTACAGTGGACAGGAAAGTGCCCCCATCAAAAAAAAGTTTTCTGATCCAAAATGTCAATAGTGTCAAGGTTAAGAGTCCTAAACTGAACAAATTATGATCAAACTAGATATGCATAAAAGTAAAAGGCCCTAATCCAATTCAAGGATTATTTAGTGAGTTTTGCTCTTGGTGTTAAGCCCCTTACTAGCTCCTAGAGACAATGATCCAAGAGATTTAGAAGTAGGAGAGAAATTTGGCCATTAGGTCTCAATACTATGTGGAAACCTCTTTCTCCATTCAAGACTGATCTCTCTGGAGTTAGGTTCACAAGAATTCTTTTGCAACAAGATACAGTAGCAGTTTATGTCAGACATAGCTTGTAAAAACTGCAGGTTTTAGAGAGTAATTAAAAGAAGTCTTTATATGCAAATTACCAGCTTCTCTTAGCTAGAAGCTATCTCTGGATAGAGCTGCCTAGAGGAGGAATTTTTAACTTTGTTTTAAACATTAATTGGGAAGTTAGCTACTTCTGACTAAGAAATAAGTCCAAGAAGTTTAGTTTGAGATTGTTGTGTTGTTTTTGTGGAGGAAATTGAGAAATGCATATTGCCATATTCTAATCCTCAATGCTATAATGTGATACTTTTTCTTTTCTTTAGCTTCAGTTACTTTTTTTTGGAGACCGAGTCTCACTGTCTCACCCAGGCTGGAGTGCAGTGGCTTGATCCCGGTTCACTGCAACCTCTGCCTCCCAGGTTCAAGTGATTCTCCTGCCTCAGCCTCCTGAGTAGCTGAGATTACAGGCGTGTGCCACCACGCCCAGTTACATTTTTTTAAAAAAGTTAGTGAGGGGTGGGAAGTAGAGGAGAGCTAGAGAGCTGGTGGGAAGTCTCTATTCCCACAGGCAGCTCTTTGGGAAGAGAAAGAGGCTAGGAAAGACTTAATAGTGAGATGAACAGCCCAAGCTGTCTGTCTTAGGTTCCTCGGTCTCTCCTGGCTTTAGAACACAGCACCCATGTGACAGGCTTGGCCAGCACCACTAAAAACTAGATCTTGGGTGGTGGAAAATCTTGGCGTTAAAGAGTAGGGCCTCACAGCCAACACTAAAAGTTCAAGTTTTTTGAATGCCCATGTTTGTTCATATAGAATGGACATCAAACAGATTGGGCATAGCTGGTCATAAAGTACATTCCAGATTTGTGTTAGGAGAGTATTGGGTATGGAGCCTTCAAAGACCTACAGCATCTACAAAAGACACAAAGAGGCAAACAACAGGTCCTTCTCAACCAAGCATGGCACTTTAATGAGGAGCTCAGGGGACCCAATTACAGGGGCCTCAAAGCTGTGGCAAATGGACTAGACACTATGTGCTCATGTAGATAGCTGAAAAGCCTTGAAATCAAAATGGTACATAGGTAAGAGGTGAACTAAATCCAGGATTAGGATAGATATGCATCTACCTAGTATTAGGATAGAAGAGAGACTTGCAGAGGGCCATACGGATGATTGAAACCACCTCTTTACAGATTATGACAGCGAAAGAAATGTAGCATTGCTGACTCTGTCTTTTTTCTAGCCTCACAGGCTGGCTCTCCTTGCTCATTCCTAGATGTAGGCCAAGCGAACCATGGGAGGAATTTAGTTTATGGTTTAACTTTGAAGCAAGGATGATAGTAGTCCCTGCCTTAAACTGACCTCCTCCTTGTTTAGGGGACTGAAACAGCCTTTGTAAGACTGATCAAAGGCCACAAGATTAGGATTATGGGACAGACCTGAATTCTGCTAAAATGTAGATGTAATTTCTATAATCCCTTACTACTCGGGAGTCACGTGGCTAGAGGTCACATGATTTGTGACTTCCTCAATTGCTCCTATAGATAATGTCATTACTAAAGAACCTAAGATTGTTTTTTTCTAATGTTTTCTAGACTTTTTGCATTCTGATTTGCATTTTGATTTAAGAATTAACCCCCATCCTTCTGTTTTGCTGGCCCTGTGATTATTAAACTCTTTCCTGCAAAAACCTGCTGTTTTTTATGCATTAGTTTTTCTGGGCAGGAGGCAAGATGAACCCATCAGGCAATCACACTATTCTTATTGCAGGCTGACCAACTGCCCCACTAACCACTAAGGACTGGGGATGGGAAAGGGAATAAGACTCTCATAGGAGCCTACAATATTAGAGGGCTGAGTGATACCATGTCTGAAGACAGAAATTAGATGGCTGGGACCTAGAAACCAGTCAGGCAAACAATATCAGTGGGCCAGGTATCTTATTCATTCACTTAACATATACTTATTCTCAGTACTCAGGAATATAGTCACACCCATAGAGGACTTTATAGAGCCTGAAATCTATTAGGTGTTAGAGACTCCCTAGCATCCGTGAACAGGAAGAGGTTCAATAGGCAAACAGTATAAAGTGGCCAACCAGTAAACCTGTGTATAATCATGACAGGTGGAAAGTCTGTCACATTTATTGAGCAACTACAATAAGAAATCCACATAACAATCCCATAAGTATATTATTATTACACCATTGTACAGATTAAAAACACTAATGGTCAGAGATATTAAACACAAGTTTTCACAGGTGAAGATAATTAGAGAGAATTCTACTATCTTTATGTCCAAAGCCTGTTCTTCCCTTCCTCTGCACTAAACTTATCAGGGAAGCCTGGAAGCAAATGGTAGGGACTCACCCAAAGAATTTATTTGGGTATAGGATACAAGTCCCTGAGGCATGTGTAGGGAAGAATCAACCCAAGCCTTCCAAAGAACTAGGACATTAAGCAGACAATCAAGGGTCACTCAGGAAAGAAGGGACCAGGGCAGAAGTCCAGCCACTAAGCCTGGGGACAAACCCAGCAAAGGAGCCACAGTAAAGCTGAGCCACTGACCTCCTGGCCCGCATCTTACATCCCAACTGAGGGCACAGTTGTCTAGAGTGGTCAGATAAAGGATGGAACACGGCCGGGCACAATGGCTCATGCCTATAAATCCCAACACTTTGGCAGGCCAAGGTAGGCGGATTGCTTTAACTCACAAGTTTGAGACCAGCCTGGGCAACATGGCAAAACTCTGTCTCTTCAAAAATATGAAAATTAGCTGGATGCGGTGGCAGGTGCCTGTAGTCCCAGCTACTCAAAAGGCTGAGATGGGAGGATGGATTGAGCCTGGGAGGCGGAGGTTGTAGTGAGCCAAGATCGTACCACTGTACTCCAGCGTGGGCAATAGAGCAAGACCCTATCTCTCTCTCTCTCTCTCACACACACACACACATGCACACACACACATAATGGAACACCTGTTAAGTCTGAGTTTTAGATAAATGATTTTTTTATTTAGTATTAGTCATTTTTTATATTATTTGGGAAATATACTAAAAAATTATTTACCTGAAATTAAAATTTAACTGGGCATCTTGTATTTTTACTTGCTAAATCTGGCAGCCCTAGTGACTGTGCCACATGTGGGGATGAAGCCCCACAATCATGAAGGCAAGAGGGGTACAGGGATAAGGAACCTAGTACACAGCTATCAAAACAACCTCCCCCACCCCACCTTTTTTTTTCTTTTAACAAAAAGTTTCCTCCCATGTAGTATTTTGTAATTATACAAAAGACGCTTGGTAAAATGAAAAATGTATTCTTAACGATTAGAAACAAAACAAAATTTGAAACAGGAAAACATTACCCCTGGTAGAATAGGAATGGCGCTTTAGCATAATAAGCATGATGAGGAACGTCCTTCTGAAAAAGTCAGCTCATACTTGGAATTGCCAGGGAGGCACTCTGTGCTGGAGCTGGTGGAATGGTAAAGATAGGAGTCTCCTCACTGTCCAAATTGTAAGCCAATGCCTTTTCCTTCTGAAACTATCACCTTCAGAGGTTTGGCTATTGAGATATTATAAGTTAAGTAGATCATTGCAGGCTAGACAGCTGACAATCATTTATAATATTCTTTCTGTGAGTAAATGTCTTCCAAGCTTCCTGCAGTGATCTTACAAATGAGTTTTGGCAACACAATCTGTTGTTAATTGGGGTTTTACTACACAACCCTGCAAAATTTGGTATGTGTCCCACTGTCCAGCCTCATCACAGACCAGCCTCCTCTAGCTCAGCCTACCAGCTCATGACTCCTCTTTCAGTCCTTGAATGCCACAAGTTCCTTGCTGTGTTGGGGCATTTGCCCAGAATATCCAGCTCTGTGGAACCCTCCACCTCTGACTCCTAGAACAGCACCTTTTCTTTCAAGTAGCCTTGAACAGGATTCCTTAATAACTGCATTATCTAAGTACTATCCATCCAAGAACCCTCAAAATTACTTTCACTTTTATTAACTTATAAATTGATATTTATTATTCACTCTCCACTAGAATACAAATGCTCAAGGGAAAGGCCCATTACTGTTTTACTTTTCACACTTTTTTCAGAACCTAGCACACTGCTTAGCACAAAATAGAAAATTCATTTATAGAATATGTGTAAAATTAATAAATGAATGAATAATCTGAATGAGTTAGTAAGTAAATGAATGAAAGTTTATATCTTATCTTTCCTCTGCAAATCATGTTTTGTTCCTAGTTTATTCCTTATGATTAACACAAGCTCTTTTGACAGCTCATGTTAGCATATCTCAATTATAAGCAGACAGGCACCAATTTATCTAGTTATTTTTTTCATTCATTTGAGAGCCCTTAATATATCAGGCACTGTGCAGATTCTGGTTTTTTTGAACTGTGACAAACCAAATTCAACTCAAAGTAAAATCACAAAACATGTAACATGATGACAAACATCACAAGCTATTGTGGGTCAACAATGTATTTCATATAAATGAATTCCTCTTCCCACATGAACTTCATAAGGCCCAAGTTCGCAAATCAGCCTTTTTGCCTCCAGCCCTGTGTGCTTTCTGGCTCAAATTTGAAATCCTTTTGTAATATGTGGAGTTGCCAGAAAGGGCTTCAAGGTAGTAAAGTTACAAAATGGAGGAGGGAAGTTGGGATGAGATGAACAGTGAAAGGGAAGCAGAGTTCACATAGTTGTGCTGTCACTTCCTGGAACAAACCTGATCAAACTAGTCACCTTTCCCAAGCACTTCTCTGCAATCATGGTACCCGACTTTTCTCATCCTTCCTTTGTGGGATAGTTTCATGGCAACCATTGAATGTCGCAACTGTCTCCAGCCTAATTTGTGGATGTAATTTGTGCTTACGTTCTCCCAACTTTTCCAAACCTGCTAGCCCACAAGTACTGTTCCTAGAAGAACTCTAATGGCTTAGCTCTATCTAACCTGGCATCTTTTTTTTCCCACTGTTCCATCGAATAAAGCTCTCATCTTTCCCAGTAACCTGCCTCTTGAAGAAAGGACTCGGGTACACAAGACTGACCTCTTACTTTGTCTGGGCCTTTTTACCCTAGAGTAGGTGATTCAGAGCAAAAAGAAAAGAAAATTATCAGAAAGCAAATGAGAAGGGAAAAAAAATACAGAAATGCTGTCAAGGTCACCAGTATATTTTTGTTGCAGGATCACCCTAGGTGAAATTATTTTAATTTACCAGTTTGCAGAGATAAAAAATATCCCACTGTGAAAACCACAGTATTCACAGTAGTGTGTGGCACTGATGAGCTACACCATATGATAAAGCAAATTGAGATCAGGCATTTTCAAGACCACTTCATGATGGGGAAAAATCACATAAAGAGTTATAATATGGTTAATGGTATTGCAAGGCTGATCTCACTAATTTTACAATTCTCTTTTATGCATAGGTTATCATACTAATTAGCTGCCTCTGGAATATTTGTCATTTTAACAGAGCAATTTTGCATTTCCCTTTGCTTTAGTTCTGTGGCCTCCAACCTGACATTCACAGGTTCCAACAAATTTCAACACGTCACATGTTGTGGATGATTTGAAACAAGTCACCTTGGAGCCGGAGAACCTTTGAGGATGGCATGGTGGAAAGAACATTGACTTGGAAATCACATGTTGATAATAATGGCAATGTGGATGTTGGCAATTTACTTAATCTCTCTGAAAGTGTTTCATTAAAAATGAAAATGAGGAACCTAACTTTTGGGCTTATTGTGATGATGGAAATCATCTCTCTCACATGCCTAACATGTAGTTCAATAAGTGGTCCATATAGAATAGTAATAAAGCAAAATTCATTTTTTTCCTCCTCTTTTGATGTGTGAAAGGAAAATAAAACTTGGAACCCCAATTTACTATGTCAAAAGGAAAAAAATTAAGCTGAAAGCTGAGTTATGTAAGAAGCTGCCTTTCCTTTTGTTTCTAAGCAGATAGCTACAGATAAAAGCTACATATCTCCACTGGTAGCTACTCTATATTCACCCTATCTTACATAAAGTGCTGATTTACTGACACCAGGCAAATACATAATTGACTATCCCCCTACCTGCTTCCTTTCTCTTGCAACGTGTGAATTCGATAATGTGACCATACCCTCCCTCTTTCTCGTCCAGTCAGCTTTTCGTCTTTAAATATTGAACTCCTCAAAAATCATCTTTGGAGAAAGGCACAGACCCGTCTCCCAGACACATCCTTGAACTTGGCAAAATAAACTTCTAAATTGGTTGAGACCAGACTCAGATACTTTTTGGTTTACAGTTCCACGATTCATGTGAGTAGATCTAGCAGGGAATAGAAAATTCAAAGCTGTTGGGAAGAATAATTTCATATCCCAGAAGCTTCAAGCATTCTTTTCCTTCCCACTCCTCTTGGACAAATCAGAGGGTTTGCAAATGGCAGTACAGTAGAAGCTGATACTTCTCTCAGAGATGTAACACAGGAAGCCAACAATATGCTGTAATCAAGAACAGAGCCTTTAGGTGAGAAAATAAAAATCACTGACCTTGGTTTCAAGCCCAAGTCATGTCTAAATGTTTTACTATGGCCTAGACACCTTATAAGAACTAGATCCAGAACTTACATTTTAATTGCATGTACATGTAGATGACATGCATCATGGAAATGGGAAAAGTTAGAATGTTGGCCTGTGGAAGTATATTGTAATCTGTCAAGTATTATTATTGTTGTCGGTTTTGTTATTGTTAAAATAAAGGTGGAATCTGGGAAATCTACCAACGATAACAATGATTATTGTTGCCAAAGTACTAACAAAAGCAGAAGAAAAAAACTGCAAAAATGTGGTTCATTCACATACAACTCATGCCAATTATAGTTATAACCATCAGGAAAGCTTATCATTTATCCTTAACATTCTCCTCCAGAAATTAATACCAGCATGTAATCTGAAAATTTGACACAATAAAATAGGAGCTGGGCTAAATTCTTGACAATGGTTACTTATGGAAATTATGGAACTTTCTGTTATTTCATGCTGAGAAACTCTACAACATCCAAAAGTTATTATTTCCATCTTTGTTTCTAGTCTCCACTAGATCTTAATTTCCTTTCTTGGAGAAGTGTTTAATTGATGTCCCTTTCCCCAAACCATTAAGGCCAAACCTTCTTGCATTAGTGTAATCATGGACAGAGCTTTAGAAACATCATAGAAATCGTATGTAATAACCCCCAAATGGAGTATTTTGAACCAAATGGGATTAGGTCACATTCCAAGCACAGTGGAACTAAACTAGACACACAGCCTTTAGGAGTTTGCCCCTACTGCTGCTGCCTCACACACCTGAACACTTGGCAGGTCCTGAGAGAGCTCCCCTATTCCACCCCCCAGAGATTTACAGACTTTCAATACTAGAACATTCTCTCTGCCCTCTCTTCAACCAAATAAGTCTTACCTATCTTTCGTGTTTAATCTTAGATATTCCTCCAGAAAACCTTTCCTAATCACCCCCTCCCACCATAGCCAAGGCTACTTTTAATGGTCCTCCTATGTGTTCCCATCACAGCTACAGGGAGAATTTGGATGACCTCTTCCAAAAATCTCTCTCTCCTTCTAGACCACCAGCTGCTGAGAATAGGGACTGAGCCCGCTTCACTGTTTTTTTTCACAGCCCCTCACACATAGCAGCCACTCAATAAATAATAGCTGAATTAATAGGTTTTGAAAATCCCATCTCGAAAGCATTCACAACAAATAAACTGATTCCTCCAGAAAACAAAGTTAATTGCTCATTATCCAGCACATTTTAATAACATCAGCTACCTAAGTTGGTAATTCAGGCTTGAATTATATACTTTGCTTTTGAGAAAACCTATCAGTCATCATCATATCACCACATTTCATTGCTGTGTAGACACCACTCTGACATTATCTTCTTATGATTTAATTTCTGATCAAAGCAGGAACAACCAAGATATGAGACCAGAAATGTGTTGGCTCTGCCATTAACCTTGGTGGCTTTGTGGACGTTCCCCAAGCCTCAGTGTGCTTCATCACTGTCAGCTCTACCCTATGTGCTCCAGGAAAGAAGACAAATGAAGAAATGTAAACGTCCAGAGTGGAGCCCATGGGACTATACGTAGGATTGTTGAAGGAATTACTTGGGTATTTTTGCAACTAAATATGGTTGGCATTCAACATCACAACTTCTTCACATTCTCTCTTTCCGTCACTTTCCCTGAAATAGTCACATCGGCTTCTATTGTTTCCCTATGGGTCTGAGAGGCTCTGTTGAGGTTTTACAGCCTCGTTCCCGAACTCCTACTAACCAAACCCATAAGGTCAGTACCTTTTGAACCTAACTTTAGCTACTCCCCAAGCAGGCCAATTAAGGAGCCCACCTGCTGTAGATTGTGTTGCCTCCCAGAATATGATCACATATGGCTTCTTTAAAGGGGGTGGAGGAATGATGAATGTCAAAAACACGTGTTTATACTTAAACCTGTTATGCACAAGAGCTTTCAACTCTTCGGTAAAAGAGCTTCAATGGGGTTATGTGTGTATCTGCTGCCTTTAAGAATGATTGTCTGTCAAGTGGTTTTGCAGACTCCACAGAATCCCTCAAGGCAGTAGGGAAAAAGCAGAGGGATTGTAACCTGGAAACCAGAACAAGTTGAGGATTCATTCTCACCTCGTGACATCTGCAATTTGGGAAATGGGAAGGCTACAGAATGATCTCATTCACTTGAAGCCAGAGACTCACACCTCCTCCCCTGCCCCTGTGCCTATCATCTGTCTATTTTTAAAGGCAAGGAATCTTAAATGTGCTTCAAAAAACTAAAACTAAAGTGATGCTCACAAAAGCCAAAGTCCCTGGTTCAGTGACTGGATCTCCAGAGAGGAGGGTCAGAGCTTTATTTTTGCTTTCTGTCTCTTTCAAAGCATGCAGGAAAAATAGTTAACAGCCATTTGAGAATTGCAATTGAGTTTATCTCTGCTACTTTGGGTACCTTCCCTCAGGTTCCCAGGAGCAGGTACTTTTGACTAGAGGCAGAGGTCACTTGGTATCTTTTAATGAACCCTCTGAGGCTGACAACTCTGAGTGCTCTCTTAGATTTTTCTTCCCACAAAAAATTAATTTCAGCATTTTACATAAAATTTGTATTTTTATAAGAACCTAGGGACTGCAGCTGAGACAAAGCTTTAGTTTCTGCAATCAAATCTATAAGACAACTATAAGAATAGCTTTACCTTATTAAAAAACACCAGCATGAGGAACATTATAAGATTTAACAAGCCTTCAGTTACACATTTTTTTCCCAGTTACTTTTGAATGCAACTTGGAGTCTCTCCTTATAATGAGACCAGTATTGGCTAGAGTAGGAAAAAAGAATTCTTCTTTAAAACATTCTAAAGAGAAGGTTAAATAAATGGGTGCATGTGGAAAGATAAAATGTCTTGTATTCCCCAACCCTTCCATTTCCCCAGATTATCAGCTTAAAGCCTCAGACTCATGATGACATTGAGGTCAGAAAATGGGTCTCATTTCTTTAATCTATAAAGCAGCAGATGTGAAGGTGGAATAGACTAGCTGATCTTTAAGGCAGAGCTTCCCAGCTGCTGTGCCAGGCACTCCACTAAATCTCAAACGGATCACCAGTGTGCCAAGATAGTGATCGACTTTCTTGATGACTAGGCACAGTTGGACAACAACAGCCCTTAAGCCAATCATTTCCAGCTGCAAGCATCTTTGTCTGTTTATTCCAACGTGCTATAAAAGTATTTTCACTGTATGTATCCGCCATGATGTGAAGGTGTTAGAACACACTGGTTTAAAGTCTCTTCCAGTTCTGTTGTTCAATTATTCTAATTCTTATTTCCTTCAAGTAGGACTTCATTGGTGACCACTGCAGGGCTACTGAGTACTGCTGGGGAGGTGGCACTTCATGTTCTGTGTGATGGTATCCCTAGAGGTTTGCAATGCATGACATGCACAGCCCTGAACAAATGAGCGGAATGTGAAAAGAAAAGAAATATGTGGCAGAGACATAGTAGGTACTGAAGTTTTTTTAAGCAAACAAGAGATTGCCCAATGAACTAATACTTAAGACCATCACTGGGAAAGGGAAAGGTCATGGTAAGTAAAGGGACTCATTTTCCCTTGAGGTACTCACTTTTATGGAAACCTAACAGATCTCTTGTGGAAAACAAAGATGAAAACACAATAAAAGAGGAAATAAAGAGGAGATGCAAAGGCTCTCACTTAACTCTCAGAAAGGTTTTGAGTTGGGCAAGTATCCTGCCGTATGGCACAAGTGAATTGAGGAGCCTCTGTTCAGTGAAGGAAGAATGTTTGATTGCTGAGGGAAGAAATCACTGGGGTGCAAAACTGTGGGGACCCTTAGATTTTCCTCTGACCCAAGCGCCAGGGAACTTGGTTTCCTCAAGAAACAGAGGCTATCAGAAATGAAACCAACAAAAACACAGCAATCCAAATAAAAAGAGTTGAAAACACTAGGCACATTGCAAGAAACTGAGAATGTGAGAACATCTTACTCTTTGCAGAAGAAAGGTACCACTGGTGGGGAAAAGGTGTCTCCTACCATGAAACAAGAATTGGCAGAGTGGAGTTGTGAAGCTGGGAGAAGTGACGTTAAGGAGGCAAAGTAGGTGTAAAGAGTTAGAAGGTCACATATCCACCAAAGGAATTGGGGTAAATTTAGCAGCTTTGAAGGCTTTCAGATAGACACTGTAATCAACACACACAAAAAAGTAAAGGCAAAGAAGACATTGATCATTACAGGAAATTTTTTCACCTCTTTGTATTTCTTAATTACTTATAATCTTGCTTAATTTAAAAGTCATGTGTACACCTTACAGAAAGCCTGATGAAAATGGAGAAGTATAAACAAGAAAAAACTTACCCTTAATGCTACAGACAGGGATTGTCACTGTTAATATTGCACAAATAAATTAAAATGTACTTAGCTATTTCCTATGGTTGAACATTTAGACTCTATTTTTTCATTATGATAAATCCTCAATAAACATATTTTCCCTATCTTTGACCATTAGGAAACAAATATTCTTTGTTCCTATTGCTGATTATTTCTTTAGAATAGATTCTTTTCTGAGGTAGTCTGGGTAAAAAAGTATGAACATCTTAAGAACCTTAACACATACAAACAAATGAAATGCTTTCCAGAACCCTTGTACCAATTCCCACCAACATTTGAGAGCTCATTCAGTGCCCCTGACTAGTTTTGATTATACTTTCTTATACTTTTGCCAAATTAATGTGACATCTCCTTGTAGTTTTAGTTTGTGCTTCAGGTCAAATCTTTTTTATATGTTAATTACCAGCACTAAAATTTTTCCCCCAGCAATAGAATTTTAATGGCAGAAAAGAGATGCTCATGGACACCTTGACCGTGCTGGGAGATGAAGGGATGGAGGGACAGGGAGTGGCAGAGGAAGAACTCAGGTTTACAGATCAGCCAACTACAGACGGTGCACCAAATCTAGCTTGCTGCCTGTTTTTGTGTGGCCCACATGTCTGTTCCCTTTTTAAATGCTTAAAAACAACACCCAAAGAATATTATTTTGTGACATGTGAGAATATGAAATTTTATTTTGTATCCATAAAGTTTTATTGGTTCCATGCTAATTATTTCTGTATTGTCTATGACTTTCACACTGCAACAGCAGGGTTCAGTAGTTGTGATAGAGACATTACGGATCATGAAGCCTCAAATATTTACCATCTGGCCTTTTACAGAAAATGTTTGGTGACCCCTGTTGTAAGCGATTACTTACCCCCTGCTGGGAGTACAGAAATGTTCAGATTAGTAAGAAGCGGTTGGATTGCTCAAGTTTCTTTAGTAAGAGCATGCACTAATCTAAGATACTCATGCACTTCACCTTTAGGAGTGTAGGATACTCATGCACTTCGCCTTTAGGAGTGCAAGAGTGTCACTGAGCAGAGGTGAGCATCATTCAGATACACACCAAGGGAAGTAAGAGAAGTGAAGGACCAGATTGTTCTTACAAGGTAGTCTCAAAGCATAAAAGAATTTGAAAATCTCTGTAGCCACTGAATTATTTGTTTTCCTTGCTAACAGCAAATGTTCAAAGTGAATTGAAGCCATAAGTCTTCCTTGAAACTCACAAACACAGAATACTATATGTATGTGTATGTGTATATATAAATAGTAATGTATATTATATAAAATATATGTTATTATACATGTATAATTATTATATTCTAGAAGAGCAAAGCAAATCCATGAATTGACTCAGTAGCAGAGGAAGGTAGAAAGGTTCTGGTCTAAATATGAAGAAGTCTAGAAATCTAGCATTTGCCATTAACTTGGCCATGTAACCCCGAGAAAATCACCTGACATGTCTGAGATGTGAGCTGGAAGAGAGTTAATGTTTCTATCAGCTCTGGTATTTGCTGATTTTTCTTAGTCTTAATTCAGTGTTGCCTGGATCAACAGCAGCAGCATCACCTAGGAACTTCTTAGAAATGCAAATGCTTGGGCCCTGCCACAGGCTTACAGAATCAGAAGTTCTGGTGATGGGCCCCAGCATTTGGTCTTAATAAGTCCTCCAAATAATTACATTGCACGCTAAAGTCTGAGAAGTACAGATCTCTAAACCGTGTTTCTCTCTTGAAGGTTTTCCAATTCCAAAAAGCATTTAAGATATTTGATTTTAAAATCTGAGTTACACATTTATACTTGCAAACACCTTGCCTCAAAAAACACTCCTCCCAGTGACTCATTTTCTCCTTCCACTGGAAGTATAGGTTTGTTTAAAGATCATATTCATTAAGCAGGACCATCATCCCACCTGAATAAAGATCAAGAACCATGGGGAGGGGTGGGTAGAGAGAAGGATGCCCACCATTCAGCTCACCTACTTGGCACATGTGCCCCTGCAAAGCTGCAGCCTGGAAACAGCCCACAAAAGCAGAGACAGACCCTCTTAGTTATCGACCAGTATGGAACCTGCTGTTACTCAGTGTGGCAAATTATACTTAAGCTATAAAAGGACAACCTCGAAAGTTGTGAGTCTTGTACCTTTTCATGGGTTTGAACTGAGAGTTGATGACAGACAGCATCTGGATGAATTTCTGCCTAACCACAAATGTGAATACCATCCTATCAGTTGGTGCTGTGGGAATGTGCTGTTCTAGAAACCTGGACACCTGGCCTCCTATCCCACTTTGCCAGACTGGTTATGTGATCCTGAGAAACTCATTTAGTCTGTCAAAGCTTCAATTAACTCATTTAGAAAATATGAATAATACCAGTTATTGTACTCACCTCATAGAGTTCTGGGGAAGATCAAGTTGTAAGAAGGGGTGCAAAGGCCCTTGAGCACTCTCAAAATGCAAATTATTGTTATTCATGAATGCCTAATAGTCTTCAGAATATACTGTTTATATCAATTAGGATTATGTTCAACTGAATATAAGAAAAGCTCAACCAAGATTGCTTAAACCAGATAGGATTTTTGCTTTTTCCATGAAACAAGTCCAGAGACAGGCCGCCCAAAGCTGAGAGCAGTTGCTTGAGGAATTCAAAGGATCCTGGCTCCGTCTAGCTTTCTGTTCTAGTATCCTTAGCATTCAGCTTTCACCCTCACAGTTCCAAAATGAAGATCCCTCCCCACCCTCCAGGCATCTATGTTCCAAAGAGGAAAAGGTCTACCTGCTGAATCTGTGCCTTTACAACAACAAAACGGTAACTTTTTTGGAAGCTCCATCTAACAGAGCATATTCAACCAGAATATTAATGAAAGCAACAATTGAAACAAAACATATAGTATAATTAAAATATATGTGTTAAATTCCTAACAGTGAAATAATTTAGTAAACATAGAAATTTACCTTTAAAAAGGGGGAAGGAGTTGGAGGCATCGTAATGTCAATTGGATGAGGCTGCTAAATGGTCTAGGCAAGAGCAAAATACACAAAGACTAGCAGATGGGCACAGGTCTGTGGTTGCAAAAGAGGCTGGTCACCTGCAAAACTGGTATTTTTATCCTCTAACGTGACATAAGGTTCTGCCATCAAGAAAGAAAGGGCTGCAAAGGACATCTAGAATGACTGCTGAATAAGCAATCAAGAACGTTTTTCATCTCCGGTTTATCTTTCTACCTTCTGTTTCAATCTCATTGTCATTAGCTTGCCTCAAGTGAATATCTTGCTACTGATTTGGTTTCCCTTTTAGTTTTTATTATTGGCTAACCTAAGGAATTTTCTTTTAACCTATGAATTTATACCATTTACATCGCTGTGACTTTCAAGTATGGAAAATTTCAATTTTTATCTTTTAGAATGTTGCCACTTCATTATCTCTTTTCCATTTTACCAGAACCCATATTTTGAAATTATTTCCATCATCTTATTTTGTGTTTTCTATTTACTTTTTCTTTGCTTTTTCTCTTTCCATTCTTCCAGTTGAAATAATGAAGTTTTATTTATGCCCCTTCATACTTCTTCTATTGGTATCAAAGCAAACATCCTATTTTTATTCTGTTACTAGCTGCCTTTAATTTCTATCATGCATATTTGACTCACTAATTTCTAAAAGTACCATTATCTTTTTCCCCCTCGTTAACTTGTATTAAATAATACAAGTACCTAAGAATGCTTTAATTCAAATCACTTTTTTTCCTTCCATATTATTGTTATAATAATAATGTATATTTATTTTGGGGGAGTTCTTTTAAAATGGCATTGTATTAAAAATATTAAAACGAAGAGACAATGATGAAAGGGATGGAATTAGAAATTATAGATCATTAGAACTGCTACAAACAACTGTAAAATTTTGCTCTTTGCTCTGGGGAAACATCCTATAACAGGTAATTTAAAAGTTTTTAAAGAATATAAAAGGGGAGCTAAATACCTGAACATTTAAACAAAATGAAGCAAAAAAAGGAAACAAATTCACTGCAAGAGATGGAAATTACATTTTAAAGGCTGAAAATAATAAAGAAATTCACTAAACAACAGGCCCTATTGTCCTGGCTCCTTCAGAAAGATTACTGAATGGAAACTGGGAAGTGGTTTGGGGAATAGCAGATTCTAGGATACAGTAGGAAGTTCACAGGTTGGCAATGGCTAGAACAGCTGAGTTTTGAAGGCACTTTGCAGACACAGGGATGCTGGTGGCCCTGAAGCACAAATAATGAATATTTAGATTACAGATACATAGAATGTATATAGACATATCAATAATAATGCATATTTATATCTATATGTTTACACTTGTTTTGCTTTCTATTTTTTCTTCCTTCCCACATCTTCCTTTTTCTTTAATGAGAGCACATCTTTTACTAGTTCCCTGTAAAAGTATATGATTAGTAAACTGTCATTTTTTTCCTCTGAAAATTTATTTATTTTACCTTCTTTATTAAGAAGTATAGTTTCCCTTGGATCTCAGAAGATATTGTTCCATTGTGTTCTGCCATCCATTGCCACTGCTGGGAAATATACTAGTCTATTTGTGATTCCTCTGTTTGAGAAAATTTATTTTTCCTCTGATTCACTTTAAGATCTTCCTCTTTCATATTCTCCAGTTTCTGACAATGTGTCTAGCATGTGTTTTTTATTTATCCTATTCAGGACTTAGTGTGCTTTGTTAATGGGATAATTCAATTCTTTTTTCAAGTATGGAAAATTTCAATTATTATCTTTTAGAATGCTGGTTCTTCTTCATTCTCTCTGCTCCATTTTACCAGAACCCATATTGGATACACTTCATACCTTTTCACACTCTCCCCCATGTTTCTTAACTGCTCTTTCATGTCTTTCAGTTCTGAGATCTATAGTGTGGATGACTTCCTCAGGTGGCTGTTCCAATCGCATCAATCCTTTTCAGCTGTATCTAATCTGCCATTTAACTCATCAACTGCGTTCTTAATTTCAAATACTATATTTTTTATTTCTGTAATTTTTATTTAGCTCTTTTTGAAACTGATATTTTGCTTACAGACCTATTTTTATTATACACTTTCTTTTATTTCATTAATTCATGTTAAACATATTAATGTATAATCTTTCCTGATATGTTTGGTTATGTCCTCTATTTAGAGTATTAATTCTCCTCTTTCTTGCACATAAACTCACATGTTTATAATTTTGGTATAATGGACTCAAACTCACTGAGTCTTGTTTATCTTTGGGAGTCCTATAAGCATTGCATTTTGAGATTGTATCACAGAACAATTCTCATTTTCTTCTGCCAGGATCTCTAAATTATTAATGATCTTGAATGTATTTTATTTTAATTTCTTGTCCAGAATTCCTACACCATATGAGCTGTGTAAACACTGTTTTCCTCACCCACGCTGGAGGTACTGGGTTTTGATTACTTGTGGATGACTGTTTTTACACAATAAAGCTCCTGTTTTACACAATAATATTACAAAAAAACCCAGAAAACACCCACTACCAATGGGTAGTTTTTCAAGGCTCTGATCCTTATACATGGAACACAAATCCATCTTTCTCACCTTATCTAGGTCAAGGTCAAGTCAGTTGTCACCAGGTGGGGCTGCTTTGTTAATAGCTTTTCTTTCTTTCTGATAGTTATTCAAAGGCTGTAAAGTTACACCTTAACAAATAGGATTTTAACACAGGATTCTAAATAGAATAACAACATTTCTTCTTAAGCCTTAACATTTGCTAAATTGATTTTAAAGTGAAGTCTATTTTTAGCACTTGCTTCCCTTTAGTCTGGTTGCCAGTCACAGCAATATTTGACTCTGTCTTGTTACTTGGTCTCTAATCACCAGCAAATTTTTCTTGTTTCTATCCCCGATTCTCCTTATTCATTTTTGTACTCTATCTCATTCTCATTTTTTCTCATACACAAGTTCACAAGTGTGCCAGTTGTATTTCTTCCTTTAAGTAGTAATTAAGGATGTATGTTCATTTCATAGAAGAGACTCCTTTCCCCTTCTTCCAAGGCTCATGCCATTTCTGATCCTACTTTCAGACAGTACTAAGTACTACTGCCCTTATCTTAGCCACCTGTCAATACCATCATATCCCTTTGTGTTAACAATGCATAAATGGTGCTGCAGTTCCTAATCAGCTGCTGGATCTAAGTTCTTATAGCTCCATCAGAGTCAGAGCTCTTTCTGTTTCCAGTAGAAAGGGACTTATCCTCTGAATATAAGATAGATCATTTAGCTGCCTGGTGGTTCCAGTCCCTTAAGTTTATTCAAAAGTTAGCCTTGATCATACAGGTTGACTATTTCCTCTGCCATGGAATTCCTTTCATGTTCCCCAGTAATTGGCCTGAAGGAAAGTAAGAGGCAACATTATTAGCCTCCCTTCTTTGATTCCAGTGTGTTTAGAGGTAGGGTGACCATGTTACTTAGCTTCCAAACAGAGATACTTTTGAGCATGAAAAGGGGCACTTCTGTAATTTTAACAGGAAGGAATAAGCCAGGACTGCACTGAACAAACTACCCTATTTTCAGGTCCTTATGTATGTAGAAACCATCACTGCTTGCTTTGACCTTATAAAGTTACAGATATGCACACTCACACACACACAAACACACACACACACTATATATATACACACATATGTATATAGTTATATGTGTGTATACATATATATACATGTATATACATAACTTTATACATATACATGTATAAAGTTAAAGGCATATACACATATATATGTATATGTATGTGTATATATATGTATAGTGTATACATATATACACAAATTAGGTGCCATCATGACCATAACTTCATAAGGGAAGTGAGTTACCTAGGCATGTTTCCTAGGGTAGGTCTTGTTTGACAAGACTAAAGAGATGTAGAAGAAAACAAGTATGCAAAATGAGATACCAATTAACAGGGGCAGACAGAAACAAAGAGGGAGAGGAACAAGGGGAAACCATAGGCCCTACGGTTAGGGTAGCAGCTTAGCACTCCTCTGGTATACTTGACTTGGCTGAATTGTGCTCTGTCAATTTGCCACCAAGTTAAGCTGACAGATATTATGAGAATAAGCTTTATGAAGAAAAAGCTTTATGTGTAAAAAGCTTTACTACACTTACTATCATGTTTTTGAGGACATAGTTCATTACAGTTTCTTCTTTATAAATACTCACAGGAGAAATTTCTCACAATTTGGTCTTAATACCAAAAACTTATGTCTATCCTGAACAATTGCTTTACATTATGTTTATTTTATGGACCCAGAATCACGAGCCTATATGCCTTTTGTTTTGCAAACTAGAAAGCTCAAAATAAAATTTGTGGCCTCTAGGAAATGTACGTTACATATATTTTGCATATAAACTCCTCTTATTATTCTTTCCTCATTTTCCCTCTAACCAGATTATCTCACCTGTCTCTATTTTATTTCACCTTTAAAGTTAAAGGCACTTTTAATGAAATGAGAATCCCATCTAGCTCTTTACCAAAAAATTTACTTCTCTTTTTTAAACTATTGTCTTATTTTGATGACTATAGAGATGTAAACTTTATTAAGGCAGCATTATATTCAAAGATGCCTATGTAAGCACAGATTTAGACAGGACTTTTCACTTTGTGAATGAAAGAATGGCAGGAAAAAAAGTCAGTTGCATGTGTCACCAGGCTTAACTCAGACAATTCTTCTTATCAAACATTCTTCATTAAAAAATCTCACTTGACTAATTTTACTTTCAAATGCCATGAACACTGTCACAAATCATTTAGAGTTTCTAGAAGTAAGAATCTGTTATGAGGAACATGCTATAATGATCTGGACACCATCCTGACATTTTATTCCCTTGTTATAAGATTTCTGACAAGCTATGTTTAACAGGAAAAAAAAAGTTTGTAATAAAGCTTAACACTGCAATAATTGACTGCAGTGTAAATAGAACTTCACAATGCAGCCTACTTCCACCACTTTTATTTTTCTTTTTCAGAAAATTGTTTATTGGCCATTAGATCCAAATGTGGAGCATGGCCTTTATTACCTTGCAGGAAGATATTTCAAGATGTGCTATATAAATCCCCTACTGTCCCTCTGTTTCCTCTCACCAGCAGCTCAGTCATCTGGATGATAAATAAGCTCATGCTGGTGTTAGCGTTTAACTAGCAATGAATTTCACTTTATTGCAATATTTATGAAAGCTTTTTAAAATGTGATTAAGTGAAAGTCTTCTCATAGGCTGCAATCAATATTTCCTAGCATGAGGTAGAGAATCCATATCTTCAGAGTTCCTTTGTTCTAGTGAGATCTACACTGCTTTCTGGACAAAGGACTCCAATTTTATTAGTCAGGAAGACCCTTCATTTTAGAAATTGTTTATAGTATTTTTATTATGAAAGTTGTAGTATGTTATGTTTTGCTTTTCTTTTTCTTCCCGTCCCCCCACCCCACCCCTTTGACTGTGAAAGAACATGCGACTGGGGAATTTAGGCCAAGAAACCTGAGTCACAATAATTACCATTTCCAGGCTACAGCACTGTGTTTTCTATTAAGCCTGTAGAGCAATTAGCAATGTTTTACAACAGCTGTGAGAATTGTTGCTTGACCTCATCTGATTGCAGTTCTGACACTTTTAAGAACAAATTGGTAAACAGTGTTGGCTTCAGAGGCCCTTTCAGAGTTTGTAGGAGAGGAGTTGGCCTGTGGGGAGGAGAGTCTTTGACAGAAATGGGCTCAGAGGTAGCCCAGGTTGGAGAACAAATGATCCAAGAAAAATGTTGTCTTGTTAGCATGCAAGGACAGCTGGGATTTTTTAGGCTGGGACTCAAAGGCAAAGCCCATGTCAGCATTTGACAAACCTACAAAGATACCAGCCAGCTTGGCCCAAGGTGAGAGAAAAGACAGCCCTCTTATTCTTAGACATCAACTGAGAATAAATCCTAGATGGAGGAAAAGCCCAGCTCTTCCAATTTTCAATTGTCTGATTGCAATTTCAGTCTTTGCAAGGAGCCCTTTAAGTGTCCCTGTTGTGCCACCAAAGGGGACTTCCAGCTCCAACATGGTCCTGGCTCTGACACGCAGTAAAAACAAAGAAGGTCTTAAATAAGGTGGAGTGACAGCATGCTAGGGATGACCGCAGGTTTTGGAGCCAGCCAGAACTCAGGTTGAATCTCAGCTCACCTGTCACTTGGCTGTGGACAAGTAACTTTACTTATCTGAGATTTAAATTCCTTGTCTGTCAAGTGGGAATCATTTTCTCAAATAAAAGCTAGTGAATGTGACGTGGTAAGAGAAAAAAAATGGTGGATTAGGGAAAGGGTAACCAAAAAGTTCACAGATCAAATTCAGTCTACTGTCTATTTTTGTAAATAAAATTTTATTGGAACACAGCCATGCTCACTAGTTACAGACCATGGCTGCTTTCATGTTACAAAAGCAGGGTTCAGTAGTTTTAGCAGAGATCCATATGGCCAGCAAAGCCAAAAATATTTACTACCAGGCTCTTCGCAGAAAAAGTTCACCAACCCCTGGTCTAGACTATCTGGGATCTTCATCTACAAGGATAATCTGAAAAGCAAAATCTATCGGGTGACTCTTCCTATCAGAGGTTTAAAAAGTGATGTTATAGCATGCAAATGTTTAGTAGTCAGTGGTGAGATGTGTCCCACATACTTTGTTACACGCAAGTAGTATTTAAAATATATTTAAATAATTTTCTTATTTTCTAAATTAGTATAGGTTTAAAGTAACTCTTATAACAGTATTACAAATAGATATTTGTTGCTTTCCCTTATTTGTTCTATAGCTGTGAAGAATAATAGCAAACATTTACTGTTTGTAGTTTTCCAGATGCTGTGCTAAATACTTTATACTAATCATCTCATTTAATGCTCATAAGGATCCTCTGATAGGCGTTAATATTAGCCTCAGAGAGCCTATGCAACTGAGCAATCTCACCAGCTACAGAATGTAAGACAGATCTGTTGAACCCTATGGCTCTGTGGTTGCTCACTGAGCCACTAGGACTGAAACTACAAGCAGTCCAGCAAAACCTATTCTCCTCATCTTCCACAGAACCTGGACTTTATCTGAGCTTATGGCTGAATGACATTTCCCTGCCTCCCTTACAAATGCAGGCCTGCTGGCTGAGTTGTGTCCAGTGGAGTCATGCGTGTCTCTTCTGGGCTGGGGTTTCTAACTGAGCAGGTGGCTCTCCATTCTCCCCTTCCCTTTCACCATACGGCTGCAGACAATGACTAAGTTCTAGAGGATGGCAGAGCTACCAAATGGAAGCAGTCCAGGTCTCTGAACTGCCAAATGGAGGAGAGCTCTTTCAATACCCAAGGATCTACTTTAGACTGTTACATAAGGAAGAAATAAGCTCCAACTTTGTGCCAATTTGTGTTTGCATCCATTTATTACAGTAGTTTAGCCTACCCCAACTCAGAAAGCCATAAAAAGACTTTGATCTACTCTGTGCTTGTCATTATTGCTGTTGGCGTAATAATTTCTCTCACCAACTAACCTTGTGTCCCTTTGATATGTTTTTGTCTCAGAAGCCTTTTCTTTTCCTGTTCCTTCTCCTCTGCCTCTGCCACAATTCCTTTCAGGATCCTCCAGCCCATTTTCTTTTCTTTTCCTCATGGTCAGTGTTTTCCATTATCACTCTTTCCTTCCTGTCTACTCAGCTCCCTTCACCCATGCCAGAGCATCATTCCTTCCTTAATGGAATCATTTGATCCCTTTGAAGTATGAGGCTCGAGTATACACAGAATGCATCTGTGTGACAATGGAACCCTTATCCTGACCCCAAAGCCCTGATAGTATTTAAAAGCACTTAAGATGGCAATAGTCAGAGAAAGAAGTATGTCAGAGAAAAGCAGGCAAGAAAAAAAAAAATGAAAGATGGCCAAATGTGTTCTCTTTCTACAAGTAACTTTACAGTCTAGAAGGAATGCAGTAAAGACAGCCAGTGCATGTGCTTGGGGATTTTACTAAAAGATAGGACGAACTACTAAAAAGGATATATAGGGAGTCCAGTGAGTTCAAATAGTAGGAAGTAAGGTTTGAAACCTCATTTCCAGTTCCACTGAAGTCAAGATAAATTCATAGTTTGTGTATGGATTACTTTCAACACTAAAGAAGAAAGATGCATGTTTTAAAAATCCGTTGTGTGTTTACAGAAACCACAGTATATTATGGTCTTAGCCCCAGATGCCCTTCTCCTATGGCAGACGAGGACAAACGGGCACAGCTTATGAAAGGGTCATCTTTATGGAAAGGCTCTGTGCCCAGAAGTTCCATATAGAAGCTCAGCTCAGAAAAGCACACTGTGGACCTGCAGTGTCACCTCCACTTAAACATTGTCCTTCCATGCATTTTAAATGAAGGACATTGAGCATAACTTTCTTTTAAACAATGTTGATTGGCCTGTGGTTTAATATAATGAAGACCTATGGGACCACTGATCGACATACAACATTTGCTCTTAGGCTTAATTTTTTTTTTTTTTTTGAGACAGAGTCTTGCTCTATCACCCAGGCTGAAGTGCAGTGGCTGAATCTCAGCTCACTGCAACCTCCACTTCCCAGGTTCAAGTAATTCTCCTGCCTCAGCCTTCTGAGCAGCTGGGATTACAGACACCTGCCACCATGCCTGGCTAATTGTTGTATTTTTAGCAGAGAGGACAGTTCACCATGTTGGTCAGGTTGGTCTGGAACCCCTGAACTCAAGTGATCCGCCTGCCTTGGCCTCCCAAAATGCTGGGATTACAGGCATTTGCCACTGTGCCTGGGCAAGGCTTAATGTTTCTAACCCTCTTACTGTGTTTTTTGAGTCTAGTTCTGGTGTCTGCTTGGATCAATTTTTCTGCTAGGCTAGAAGTTGTTATTTCTATTGGGTTTTGGTAAGATTGATTATATTAAGTCCACTTCTGAACTTAAAATTTGGCTCTTTTAGAATTTTGCCAAAAATAAAGGGACTTAGAGTAGGGCTTTGATGGTGTCTCCTAGGAATAAAGGATTTGTGAAGATGGTTGAGAGGGAAAAGGGTCATTTGGACAGGGTAAACCTTTGTTACCACGTCCTATGAATAAACTAACCAAACCGAAGGGAGAAAAGAATCTCAAAAAGGCCCTAAAATAATAGCCATCATCATCATCTCTATTAACTAATAATTAGTAACATGAGATAATGAATTCCTAATAAGTGTAGCCATTCACCATAGATTTGAATCCTGGTTCAATTCCTCTTAATTTTTGTCATCATAAGCAGGTCACTTGTTTC
This sequence comes from Homo sapiens, assembly GCF_000001405.40. Classification (NCBI taxonomy): domain Eukaryota; kingdom Metazoa; phylum Chordata; class Mammalia; order Primates; family Hominidae; genus Homo; species Homo sapiens. Next base: position 38,644 of record NW_003315928.1, on the reverse strand, counting down.
TTAGAGTGTTAGCTTCTTTGTTTGGAAAGCAATGATAATAATACAAATCCCATAGGTTGTAGGCTGACCATAAGGGTTAAACAAGACAACATATGTAAAAGTGTCTGGCACATAATTGGTGCTTATTTTCAGTTGGGTATGTCCCCTTCCTAACAGTGTAATCATGATGGAATTGTCAATAAAACTGCCCCATCAGCCTGGCCAAGGGATGACTGTGTATGCAGTGGGAGGCCAATCACACACTCTGTCTCCTGGGAATCTAAAACATGTGTGAGTCATTAACAATGAATAATTGCAAGAGATGAGTCTTTCTAATGGGAGTTTCTGAAATAAGAGTATATCAGTCCCTAAGTTCCTCATACCAGACTCCAGAGAACTCTCCTAGTTCCTGTCCTTGACAAGATCCAATTGTTCAATTTTGCCTTAGAGTCTGGGATCTACCCAGTCTCCTTGCTTCATAAATCCCTTTTTCCCCTGAAGTTAGCCACTGGAGAGTTATATGCTTGCAAACAGAGTCCCAACTGAGACACCATGCTACCCTCTACAAAGATATGGCAATACTGACACAGAAGCACAGACTGTAATGATATCTTCTTTGCCATCACTCACCCCTCCAACCAAGGAAAAATCAACCAACCTGGTTTCTACTACTACATAACAACACGGAATAAACCTAGGTGCACATCAACAGTGGATTGGACAAAGAAAATCTGGTACATATACACCATGGAAACTACGCAGGCAGGAAAAAGAACAAAATCATGTTCCTTTGCAGCAACATGGATGCAGCTGGAGGCCATTATCCTAAGCAAATTAACTCAAGAAAAGAAAACAAAAAACTGCACGTTTTCACTTATAAGGGAGAGCTAAACATTGAGTACACATTGACATAAAGATGGGCGCAACAGACACTGGGAACTACTAGAGGGGGAAGGGAAAAGGGGACGTGGGCTGAAAAACTACCTATTGGGTACTATGCTCACTACCTGGGTGACATGATCATCCTTACCCCAAAGCTCAGCATCACACCATATATTCATGTAACAAATCAGCATTTGTACCCCCTGAACCTAAAATGAAAGTTCAAATTTTAACAAGTAAATATGTATTTGCTTTTAAAGACAATGGTGATAGTGCGCCTAACAGTGTAAAAATGGTTCCATGTTGACGGCTGGGAGCTGAAATAAATTTTTTGCCTAATGTAGACTCTCTCTTCTTTAAAGTCAAAAACTATAGAACTATGGACCCAAGGGAAGCACTAAGTGGTCACAAGGGACAGGGGCTTGCCCTCTTCCACGGCAAAGCTTAAAGAACTTCATGGAACATGCTAAAGGCTGTTTTGTCACAGAAACAATCTATAAGAGTCACCCAGGAATAGTGCCTCTGTGAGAAGGGTCAACACCGCAATGTTGACAAACAAGTAAATACCAGGATGTGGTTCCCAGCATGGCCAAACCAAGGTAAGTTTCTACCCACTTACAACAACTGGAACTTGCCCTTGAAGCTTGTTCTTAACAAGCAGGCCCCATGAGGCAAAGGAAGCTGTCAGCAGTTGCTATTTCCTACACTCCCTAGAAATCTAAGCCAGGAAAACAGATAAAGCAAAAACCAAGAATGAAAAGCCAAGGTCCAAGAGAGCAAACTAGGAATCCACCGAAGGCATGTGAAATTTAAAAAGAAACTCTTAAAGTAAAAGTATTCCTTGCAAGGAATAGCAATAGACATGCCCGAGGAGGTGGTGTCACATGGAATCTGTTGAAAATCATTTTTAATGCATGGATGATGCTTGTTCTTTGTAGTAAGCCTACAACGGCCCCCTTCTTTAAAATTACAGAATTATTTCAAACAGTAAATCATCCTTTCCAATCATTTTACTCATCTCTACTTTGTTCCTTTTACCACCTGCCACAGCTAAACTTTTTATTTTTCTTCCATTCACTAATGTTTAACCTTATTCAATTTCAGGCAACCAGAATGAAAAAATAGAAGACATACACCCCTGGCAACTCTAAAAGCACTTTATTTCCATCCATCACTACTTCCTTTTCTTGCTTCTCTGAAGAGATATTTCTATAGTTGCCAGATTCAAACCTTTTCCCCACACTCTCCAGAAATGCCCTTCTTCTTGATGACTTTGCCCTGGTAATAATCCTCTTTCTCTCTCCCCTTGATGTTCTCTCCCTCTATTTCTTTTTCTCTCCTCCTGTCTTTCACATTCCTTCTCTCTATAGTGGCTCCCCCCCAACCACACACATACACAGAGCCTACAGATAGAAGGCATTTTGATTTTCCCCTTCTCCCACTCTTTCTGGGAATAGAATAAATCCTAGTATAATGTAATTCAAATCTGGAGAGGAGACAACCATTCTTTTAGCATAATAAGCCACATGTCCTTTAGGAGCAAGTAATTATTCTTTGTAGCACTAACGATCTGATTTTGTTGTAGGTGCTCTATCTAGAGGCAAGGTCTGCTCCATCACATGTAGGGCCCAGTGCAAAAGGAAAATGTGGTGTCTCATTTGAAAGGTGGGGGAAAAGTGCCACTAAAAGTAGCAACATACTAACCTTTGTCCTTTGTTCAGGGGTCTGTCAACGTGTCATGGTGTCTTTTATTTGTTATTTGCTGTTTCGCTCCTTTAAATACAGTGATACTTGCTGGTTGTTTGCAGATCCTCAGAGGTTTCCAGGGGCCCTGTGCAGTGACTCAGTGCACAGCTCACCATCTGCTGGACCCCCTTCCCGCCAGTCACTGGGCTGACCTTCTTGGATGGGGACAAAGAATCCACACTTGCTTTCCCACAGGCCAATGTCTCCAACACACAGAGATGGGTAACTCCCAGTGGAGTGCGTCATCTATGCCAGGACACACTCAGTACCTGAACGGGGTGTCCAGGAGGCCCATCCCACAAAGTCGCCCACTGTGCTGCCATGGCACTGCATGCACCTGCCTGGGTGGGAATAAGGCACGGCAGCAGTAGCTTAGGCAAAGATGGGAAAGGAAAGGATAAGATCTGGTGTCCCAGGCGGCAGGAAGAACAGGTATCCAAGGAATCCTCCCAGAGATTCAAGACACCTAGATTGAGCTGAGGCTTTGATCGCTCCCTGTGCCCAACCCACATCAGACTTCACTCACAAAACACAAACTCAAAGATAAAAAATACTAATAATTTCAAGTCAGTAATAATAGAATCTCCACCACAACAGCCTCTCAATACTCACACAGAGCTAAAGATTAGACACCAGGAAATGCTTGCCAACAGACATAGCTAAAAGTGGAAATTGGAAAGCATTTCCGCTTTCCAAATCTCATGAAAGAACATCTGATTAGGGGAGTCTATCTACTGCAAGAGAGTCAGAGAAGTTAAATTTTTAGGTTTTATCAATGGAGGCTAGAACTGGATAAGGCAAAGCCCCATATTTACCTCTTGATAGTCTTAATACCCACAAAGAGCTGGAGATTAGACAGCGTGAACATGTAGTCATCACCACTATGCTTATGGTGCAACCCCAGGGCCTAATTTCCTGCTCTTTATGGGTATTGAAACTATTTTTCAAATCTCCTCTATCATTCTCCCATTATTCCTTCTGTGCATCCTTCAGTCCAGCCATGGGTGGTGACTTGCATTTTTCCAAGCAGGCTCCACTTTGGAGTTCCTCTACTTTTGCCAACAATATCCCAGAAATACCTTTTCCTTCATTTTAAATCTGTGGAACTACCATTCATCTTTCATGGCCCAGTTTAAACATTACCCCCTCTGACATTCCCAGTCAGAGGCAATCACCTCCTTCCCTCCGTATTCTTTAATGACTTAGTGTGTAAAAACCTATTCATCACGTGTCTTGGTGTTGGCACACCCCCATTAGACTAAGACGTCCATGATGAAAAAATTTTATCGTTCTTTTTATAGCCCCTCTGCCTAGCTCAGGGTCTAACATACACAACAAATGTATGTTGACAAAATGAATCTGTTGAGCAGAGCTACAATTCTCTCCTATCAGACTTGCTCGTAAAGTGAGGGAAACTCATAAATACTAGTAAACGTACAAACAGGGTATGAATGTTGAATCCATTAGAGCAGAATGAAGTAATTATAGAGCAGAAAAGATAGTTGGTATCTCATAATAAGGGAATAACGTAAAGTATAAAACCTCTCTCTTGCTCTCTTTCCTCAGAGGAGTCTAGAATATGGAACTCATCAAGCTGAAGTACCGAACAGAAGCAAGTTAAGTGCCTACCTGTTATTTATATATCTCCCTCTTGTGGTAATTAGAGAGCCTTCATTTACTGTTATGGTAGTCATAATTAGAATTTAATAGAAACAAGGCACTCTTCATTTTTTAAAAAACTGCAATATTCATGTGATTTGAGGTACATAAATCCAGTTTCAGCTATCTATGTATCCTTAAGGTCCTAGTCATGAACAACGTAGACAAGAAGAATATACAGTTGGCCCTTGAACACCACAAGTCTGAACTGTACAGGTCCACTTATAAGTGGATTAAGTAGATTTTTTGACACAAAGCAGGAAAATACAGTATTCACAGGATGCAAAACCTTGAAACCGTGCCAACTTTTCATTTATATGGTTTCCCCCAGGCCTGAGTATGACGGGATTTGGGAATGACTGGATTCGGGTATGCAAATGGTCCTAGAACCAATCCCTTACAGACACCGAGGGACAACTGTATATAAAATATTCCAGTGGGTCCTTTCTTCTCAGTGACATCCGGTACTTGATTTTTTCTTCTTTTTCAGTAAAGACAGATATTCCAATGAAGATGCAGGGTGAATGTCAAATATTTCATAATGTGAAGATTCAGATTCTTTAATAGAGCATTTTTCTTTGAATACATTAGATTCTTTCAGTGCCTTAAATACTCTCTTTGGAAGTTAGTCCTTTTAGATAGACCATTACATGGGAGTTGCATCTAAAACAGATGGTCCTTTAGAATTGACCATAGGAGTATTGTTGTTTTGGTAATGGTCGAGTCCACCAGACGTCATGAAATCATGTATAATCACCTCTGACAATTCAGGGTCTTCTTTCTCTGAATTTATCTAGTGTACTTAAGGTTTTTATTCAAACGTATTTATTATTGGGTACACATGGACATAAAGATGGGAACAATAGACACTGGGGACTCCAAAAGAAGGGTGGGAGAGAGGGAGGGAGGCAACAGCTGTAAAACTTCCCGTCGGGCACTATGTTCACCATCTCATCTCTGGGTGATGGGATCAATAGAAGCTCAAAACTTAGGATCACACAATATATCCTTGTAACAAACCTCCACATGTACTCCCTGAATCTAAAATGAAAATGGAAATTTTATACACACACACACACAAACACACACACACATATATATATATACATATATATAGAGAGAGAGAGAGAGAGTCTGTCTGCCATGTTCAATACACTTTTCAGGGTAGAAATAAAATGAAACACGATCCTGCCTTCAAGGGGCTTACAATCTAGTAATGGAGATAAATGATCTACCTAATAACAATAAAGAAAATGATAAATAAACGACCAAATTCAGTGGTTCTTAAAGTGAGTACAAGTGATATATGCAGGGGATTTTTAAACATATGTTTCTTTTAAGATTTAAAAATGATATTTCAAGGCCAGGTGTGGTGGCTCATGCCTGTAATCCCAGCATTTTGGGAGGCCAAGGCAGGCAGATAACTTGAGGTCAGGAGTTCGAGACCAGCCTGGCCATCATGGCGAAACCCTGTCTCTACTAAAAATACAAAAATTAGCTGGGCGTGGTGGTGGGCACCTGTAATCCCAGCTACTGGGGAGGCTGAGGTGGGAGAATTGCTTGACCCCGGGAGGCAGAAGTTGCAGTGAGCCAAGATTGTGCCACTGCACTCCAGCCTGGATGACAGAGTGAGACTCCATCTCAAAAAAAATTTTCAAATGGTATTTCAAAAGAACATCCTAAGTGATTCTGATATGCACATCTCCCCTCTTTAAGGGCCACTGAACTAGGAGGAGTTCAAAAGATGTAAAGATTACTTCCTGGATGCGGGCAGTAAAAATTAGGATGACTTTGAGAAAGAAGGGACAAGTTTAGTACTGGGTAGTTCTGTGACACAGGAGTGTGATCTCCAATATCTACAGGGAGCAGGCAGGTAATATAAATAAGTAAATTAGGTCAATCTAGGTCAAGTTGATGTTAGGGAGTGCTGGGAATTAGGGCAGGTTGGAAAACACTTACCCTTTTTTATGTGGAATAACCACTTCCCAACTCCAGCCAACCATCCCATATAAGAGAAAAAGACTAATAAAGCTGGATCTTCCATTTTCTCAAGAGATACCATACATTTGAATTTTCTGGCAATTAATTTAAAACAATTTAAAGAACTATGTAGTCCCACAGTGCTCAGGCAAAACCAAACATGTGTGCAGATCACATTTGGCCTCTGGACTGTTAGTCATTAACTGAATCCACACTATTTCAGGCTCTGTGTGAGGTGCTAGAATACACACAACAATTTTGTTGCCTGCAAAGTGCCTATGGTCCAGAGAAAATTGACGAGAAAATGGACGATGACTGTGTCATATAGCCAGAGTCTCACAAAACTATGAGAGTACAAAGGAAAGAAAACTCACTGCTGAATGGGAAGAGACCAGCAGGACGTATTTCCCAGTCCTGACATGATGAAATAAAGAAACAGGCCGAAGCTAGCAAAGGCTCCAAAGGCAACCTCTAGTTGCCCTTACTGCTCATCAGCATCAGACACTTCCGTCAGCACCATGACAGTTTACAAATGCCATGGCAACAACCTGAAGTTACTGCCTCTCTTCTAGAAATTTCTGAATGACCCACTTTTTAATTTGCATGTAATTAAAAATGGTTATAAATACTGCTAGCGAACAGCTCAAACACTGCTAGTCTGCGTGCACTGCCTACAGGTTACCCTGCTCCACAAGGAGCAGTCACTCTGCTGTACACTGCTGCTTCAGTGAACCTGCTTTCTTCTACTGTCAGCAGAATTCCACTGAATTCTTTCCTGAGCAAAACCAAGAACTCTCCTGGGCTAATCCCCAATTTTGGGGCTCAGCTGCCCTGCATCACTGGGTTTATGGAAAGCTTCAAAGAGGAAGTGACATGTGAGTTCCATCTAGAAGAATGAGTAAGCATTTTCCAGGTTAACAGCTAGAAACAGGAACAGGCAAAGTCAACGCCATTTATAAGGCTCAGAAATGTGAAAGTATCCCTCTCTAAGAAGATCATCAACTCCATCAGGGCAATATATATATATATATATATATTTTTTTTTTTTTTTTTTTTTTTTTTTGAGATGGAGTCTCGCTCTGTTGCCCAGGCTGGAGTGTGGTGGCGCGATCTCGGCTCACTGCAAGCTCCGCCTCCCGGGTTCCCGCCATTCTCCTGCCTCACCCTCCCGAGTAGCTGGGACTACAGGCGCCCGCCACCACACCCGGCTAATTTTTGTATTTTTAGTAGAGACGGGGTTTCACCGTGTTAGCCAGGATGGTCTCCATCTCCTGACCTCGTGATCCGCCCACCTCGGCCTCCAAAAGTGCTGGGATTACAGGCATGAGCCACCGCAGCGGGCCTACATATTCTGTCTTTTTAGTGCATTTTATCCTAGGCTGAGCATAGAAGACCCTCTATAAATAGCTTTGACATGTTGTGAGGTTCAAGGATATGAGATAAATAGTAAATACTTTTCCTTAGTGATCTGTAGGAATTATCATAATCTCTATAAAGCCCAAAACCCTTGATTCACTTAGGCTTACCATGACGTAAACAAGGTTCCTCAATTAGGAAGAAAAGAAAGTTTGGAAATCATGAAATTCCCTTCCCAAAGTCACACACAGCTAACCTTCAATTGCTCAGAGGTTGATTATCTAGTAATAAGAAATTCATATTCTTTGCAGTTCTCTCTTTCCTCTTTGATTTCTTTTTGTCTTATTCCATGATCATGTTATCTCCATCAGAAACTCAGGTAGGAGCCAGGTATCCAGCACATCCACTTGGCTACACATTAATAGCTTTGAGACAGAAACTGAGGTATATCAGACTCAGTGATTTCCACATTTTCTGATAATTTTAACCATCATATTCTTCTGATCCCCCATTACTAAGGATGAATTGAGTCAGCTAAACACTTCAAAGTCCAAGTACTGATGCTTCAGACTGCCTTATTCATAAAGGGATATTGAGTCTTAACTCCTTTTGCCACAGAAAGTAGGACTTCTAAGCAGAAACACAATTTCTTCTCTTAGGCTCTAGACAACAGCTACTAGTTCTCATGAGGACCAATACAGCTAAACACTTTCTAAGAGGAATGGATGTGATTTCAAACTATGCTTGTCTTCAAGCAACAGAGTTCAGACATTCATATTATTTTGTGTTATGAGCAAGAAATGGAAACAGGAAAATACATTGCCATGTGATATACTATGGAGAAACAGTAAGGAGTAGTGTAAAAGCAGAAAAGGTGAAAATAATTTTCTGCCTCAGCTTTCCAAAGCCTTTAAATCTATCAGGGTTAAGGAAACAAAAGAAAATATTTCTTTTCCAAACTATTTCTTGGTACATAAATCTCCTTCATTGAAAACATTTTTCTCTCTTTCTATTCCCTCCCCAATCCCCAATTTATATAGTGCACTGAAGTTTTCCTTAACATCATTTACTAAATATATCACAATATACTCTTTCCCTGAGGCAACCATTTCAAAGAGACACCTTCCCTCAATCTGGGAATTTCTCAAATAAATCACCCCATTTGGACTTTCCTCCCTCAATATATTTAATGCTGTGAACACATTGTGAAGGTTATAAAAGCTAAAATTCTGCTCTAAAATATGAATATATTTGGGGTGTAGGCTGAAGGTGCAGAATGACTCCTGAGGGCAAAGTCAATTACCTCTTTGGTTTGTTGAGTCTCCAGAACTATTTTACAAATGTTTTTGTTAAAATAATAATCCTCCCCCACAAAAGAAGGCTGTGCCAAGCACTTTTTCCCTTCATGTGGTTTTGGAGGAGAACATTTGCAGGAGAACATACATTTCTGTCTTATTTAAACTTAGATCATTACAAGATTTAAGCGCATCTTGTCCCACAGCCAATACCCTTGGCTATCTGTGTAAATATAAATCAATATTGAAGAATGAGAACTTGTTTAAAACATAATTTCTCACATTTGAGGCCAGGTTATGTTGTGAAACCAGCATCTCCATATTTTTACTTGTTTCTGTCTAGCAAGCAATAGCCTGTGGACCAAATTAGACTCATGGACTGCTTTATGCAGCCTGTGAGCTAAGAATCATTTTTATATTTTTAAGGATTATAAAGTAACAAAAACAAAATGCACAAAGAATAATATCCAAAACTGAAGGTATCAATTTAGGCCCCTAAGCCTAAAATATTTACCATCTGGGTCTTTACAGAAAAGTAAGCTGACTCTTGATCTAGGCAAATAGACACCTTCCTGTTGTTCAGGTCCTTATCAAATTTCCAAGCACAGTTAACTCTATCCATCTTCACTTAAACAACTTATGGTATAAACAACTCACAAAAATAAGAGAAAGCTCTTGCACATTTGATTATGTGATTCATTTTGTGTATTGTCTTGGTTTAGGTTCTCTAAGAAGCATAGAAGCAAACCACAAGCCAAAGATTTAAGTGTAAGAGTTTTATTTGGGAGATAATCCCAGGAAGCACTGATAGGAAAGGAGGAAGTGAGACAGGACGGTGTGATGGTTAATACTGAGTGTCAACTTCATTGGCTTGAAGGATGCAAAGTATTGTTCCTGGGTGTGTCTGTGAGGGTGTTGCCAAATGAGATTAATATTTGAGTCAGTGAACTGGGAGAGGCAGACCTGCCCTCAATCTGGGTGGGCACCATGTAATCAGTTGCCAGCTTGGCTAGGATAAAAGCAGGCAGAGGAACGTGGAAGGACTAGACTGGCTAAGTCTTCTGGCCTCCATCTTTCTCCCATGCTAGATCCTTCCTGCCCTCGAACATTAGACTCCAAGTTATTCAGCTTTTGGACTCTTGGATTTACACCAGTGATTTACCAGGGGCTCTCCAGCCTTTGGCCACAGACTGAAGGCTGCACTATTGGCTTCTCTACTTTTGAGTTTTGGGGGATCGTGTGAGTCCATTCTCCTTAATAAACTCCCCTCCATATATACCTCTAGCCGGTTAGTCTTGTCCCTTTAGAGAACCCTAACTAACACAGTCAGGGAAGCAGCCACTAAGTGTGTGTGTCAGGGCGGGGGGGGGGGGGGCAGGTATCAAGCAAATGTTCTATTGTGAGTAAATGAAGTTTAAACCTGCAGGGGAACTCCAGCTGAGAGTTATTCCACATGTGAGGTGGCATCTCAGAGTTATTCCACATGTGAGGTGAGGGAGATAGGGCAGGAACACATCAACTCTCATCAGATGTTGGTTGATGGCTCCTTCCAGAATCATGTACTTCTCCAGTGCTTCTAGCTTGCTGCTCAGCTGAGGCCAGCAGAGTGACCTTCGATCATCACAGAAAGCCTTCAGTGGATGCTAGTGGCTAGAAGTCAACTGAAGTTATGGTTTGAGGAGATAGGGGTAGGGCATTAACACCTGCTACATTATATTTCTTGTAAATGCCCTACATTTTAAATAAGCTCCAGACTGTCACTGCTTCTCCAAGGTGGTTGCAATTTCTACAAAACAAAAACTTAAAACAGAAGGGTCAGTGGGAAAAACTAAAGTGTCTACTTCCACAAATTATATTTTTGTCCCTTCCTCATACCATGCATAATAGATGCCCCTTGCCCTTAGTCAAGCACTTTTTTCAATCTAGATTGTAGTTACTGGGCTTTCTTGCCCATTAACAATGAATAATGGACTTGAGCACACCTATGAGTAGCTCATTGAATTCCCTGAGCTCTAGACACACCTCCTGTCCCCCTACATAGCCATAATCTTATCTCTGTATGGTAATCATGGGTATCTATCCTTGTCAGTGTAGTATAGTAACTCACTTCTTGGCCTACTTGTTTACATGTATGAGGAACCCACAATGTTCAAGCTGCAATCATAGCTTTAGGATTACTGGAACCATTAATGTGTCCCGTAGTAGAAATGTCCTCCACTTACTCCCACTGAAGACCAGAATCTGTGGTTTAGTAGAGACTAAATCTGTGGGGATGAGAAGTACCAATTCCCCACATAGGTCACTGGGAATAATGGAAATGCAGTCATTCCTTCTTCCATATCTTGCTTTCCAGAACTATTGAGGATACAACCCTGTATAATGGACATTAGTTCAAAATATATATCACACAATGAAAGACAGTAAGTAGCCCAACCATGAAGGGTATATTCACCAAGATAGCTAAATGTTGCAGTGCTTTAAGAGGCCATTGCAACAATTCCAGCAGGTAGCACTTCCAGAATGGGGTGGAGTATTTTAAGATCCGTGGATCCCATGGTGGTAAGGTGCTCATTGTCATACCTTTTTTTCCTGAAAAAATTGGTTGCTTAATCCAAGGTGATGCAGGCTTCTGTGATAATAAATCAAACAATAAGCACATAATCACTCTAGGTCCTCTGACAGGGGTGCCAACTAAGGCAATTGTATGCAAGGAAGGCAAACCCATGCCCAGAACCCATATTAATAGAAGAAGAAATGAATTCCAGCCCTTCCAGGTGGAAGGGGTCCAAAGTAATCAACTTGCCATCAAGGAACTAGAAGATTTCCTCAAAGAATGGTAGTACACTAAGAGCTCAGCATTGGTCTCAACTGCTGACATTTTGGAGAGTCTGCAGTGGCAGTTGGATCAGCCTCAGTGAAAAAAAGATCCTTGTTGTTGGGCTCATGGATAACCTCCCTCTCTTTCACCGTGGCTACTTTAATGATGAGTTCATTTTACAAATACTGGTGGCCAAAGACAAAACTTCACTGGCTTCTACTGGGGAAGTCATTGATGTAACCTGGTTGTTTAGGGCCTCCTCTGGTGGGCATCAATAGCAAATACAGAGATTTGCAAATTTTGTCCACAATCATATAGAACTGACTACACATGTCTTCACTACATCAATTCAAGTTGATAGTCAGGTATACTCTGCAAAACTTTGCACAACGGGAGCATTTTCCCTCATCACTGTCTCCTAGGGCCACTCTTTTTTTTTTTTTTTTTTGAGACGGAGTCTCGCTCTGTCGCCCAGGCCGGACTGCGGACTGCAGTGGCGCAATCTCGGCTCACTGCAAGCTCCGCTTCCCGGGTTCACGCCATTCTCCTGCCTCAGCCTCCCAAGTAGCTGGGACTACAGGCGCCCGCCACCGCGCCCGGCTAATTTTTTGTATTTTTAGTAGAGACGGGGTTTCACCTTGTTAGCCAGGATGGTCTCGATCTCCTGACCTCATGATCCACCCGCCTCGGCCTCCCAAAGTGCTGGGATTACAGGCGTGAGCCACCGCGCCCGGCCCTAGGGCCACTCTTGATTGGGGCTGTAGTGCAGCAACAGTTCATACTACAACCCTTCTGTGATCCAGGCCTGGATACTTCCTCCTCCATCAGTTGGTCATTGTGAACCCCTGGAAGCCATAGGCAAGTGAGCTAAAGAAAAGGCATCAGTACAAAAGAGGTAGGTGTCATGGGAGCCTCAGCAACCTATTCACTCAGCTGTGCCCTGGGGACCTGCTCAGGCCTAAGTCCTGAGTATACTATTTTCATCATACAATGGATTGCTACTGTGTTCTCCCAACTTTACCTCTTAATAGGTCTGATAATATCCAACTCATCACAATGAGCTTCACTTGTATAATCACTTAATGTCCTCCATGAAGCTGAAGAGCATGCCAGGAACTGCATCTCAAACAATGAATACTTTTCTGCTGCAGATGGCATGGCTTTGCTCCAAGCGTCTGTTCTGTGACTCTCCTATTGGGGTTTGCCAGAGACCCTGTCACAGATACCTCTAATAACTTGAGATCTGCTGAGTCATATGGCCCAATCAGCTGTACTGAACTTGTACTGAAAACTGATACTGCTGTAGAAACCTCTCTTTATACTGCATTCAAAACTGGTAGCCTTATGAGTCACAGGATAAATGAGTTGGATATATTCCCAAATGTGGTTGGTGCTATATCCAAAATTTTCATAACAAGTATATGTCTATTTCTTAGTGGTGGGAGGTACAAAGGAAAGTCAATCATAACATGTATCCAGATCCCTGATCCCTAAAAACTTCATCTTTGTGGCAGGCCCCTGCATTTGGTAGGATTTATCTCCCATCCAGCAGTGTGCCTGTGTCTTACAAGAGCATCCAGAATGCTTGCCACTCCCTGTTTCCCAGGCCCAAGTAACATGATACTGTAATAATAAGATGAATATGATAAAACAATATTAAAAATGCCAACAATAATATACCCAAATTTTAATGTACACTTTCATTACCAAACTCTTAGGGAATAGAGTCTAAAAATTAAATTCCCATGAAAGTTAAAACCTCAAGTAATTAAAGTGTCAAATTAAGTTATTTTGCTCTCATGAGTTAGAAGTCCTAAGAAACTGAAGTCCAAATTATTTCTCCCCAATTTCTTCTTTTGGTCAATTCAATTTCAGAGTTCCCAATGCCTGGGTGGAGTTAGGAGCTCTTTAGCAGAGATGTTCTTTAGCACAATGGTCTTGCACTGAAATGCAAGTAGTTTCTTTAGGAAACTACAACTTAACTTACAAAGTTAACTTAATGCAATGGCAAGTCTTTATTGCACCTGAATTCTTAAAGTTTAAGTAGTTAGGCTATGCACTGGTCTTACATCCACCACATTTAGAAGGCAAGCCAGTCCCTCAAGGAATTTGCTCAAGGTCATATAGTTAACTAGTAAGTGGTAGCACCAATAGGCAAACCCTAGGCAGGTGCCCTGAGAGCCTGTGCTCCTAATCATGGTGCACTCCTCACTGGCTTCAGTTTTTCTGAGGTACTGGTTAATCTATGCCAGGTATTCAGAATACGTGATCTATGGGCTTCAGCTCACTTGGACTTTAAATTCATTAAAAGGTTAATTTGGGTACTATATATTTGGCTCTATATATTCACCATATTTTAAAGGGAAAAATACATTGTCTTTTCCCTCAGAGGATAATGCAGTCTTTTTTGAAAAGCAGCAACTACTGTCACCAGATGTTATTTGAGGAAGCTTTCTTTTCCATCTGCTATATTTAAAGCCTTCTAATTTCCCTTTCTCCTTTGAGGTCCTAGATTCTGGCACCCCAAGACTGGATTGAGTACAGGCTCTATCTAGTAACATAGCATTTACATTCTTTTGCAAACAGTCGCTTTCAGTGCTGTACCACAGTGGCTTAAAAAAAAATCTAACTCTTAATAAAGAATTCCTGAGACCTAAGAAACAAACTCCAAGGTAATGTTTTCCCTTATTCATAATGAGCTAGCCTAGAGTCAACTGGAAACAAAATGGTGTTTGATCACTTTTGACCCTGAATACCAACTGTATCCCTCTCACATCACTCGCCTCACCCCTTACCCGTAATTCATAATGGAATTTGGGTCAACCAATCTAATTCTGTCTATGTAGGATATACAAAACTCAGATGACTTTCACTTTACAAGCAGTAAATACTGTACTGCTTCCAATGTGTAAAAAGTCTGTATTTAGAAAGGCATTTTTCCCAATATTGGCCTCAGTTACACCCATGTGGCTTATATTCAAGTGATAGTCTACACACTGAGGACATCCAAGCCTATTAAAAACATCCCCTGACATCAGAGCTGCTGACAGAAAGAATGACATGTACACTTCCTGTGGGAAGCTCCACTTCTGGAGATGAAAGGTCTGGGCTATAAATGCCCAGTTTATCTAATCAATATTGCTAGTTATAGTTAAGTCAGCCCATCTTCACTCCTCCAAGAGAGGTGTCTCCACCAAGGGAGGAGATCCTCCACATGGAAGGAAAGTCTATAATTAGAGAATAAGCATTTTCTCCTATACATGACTAGGAAGATTCCTGCACATAATCTTAGAAAATAAAGTTTTGCTTTTGCTTGAAGATTTAAAGACCATGACATGAAAAAAAGAGTCATCATGCTCAAAAATAAGTAAGTGAAAACATAGATTAGGTTTAGTATCTATGTGAAGTAGTAGTATATCTTGTCTCTAAATCATACATACATTCCACCTCTAAGGGCTATTATGAATTCAACCAATTTTTAAGGAAGTCAAAGCAAAAGAGAAGAAATAAAAGGACAATAGTTAGGTCTCCTTTCTTTCTTCCAAACAGGCAAGGTCCTGGAAAGAACTGATGAAGAAAAGCTTCTGCTGATGAATCCTAAGGTGACATTCATGATCAAACATACTTCCTCAGCATATGAGAATTGCCAACTCCCTCATCCTTTCACTGCTGAAACCACCTTTGCAAAGATTATGATAGTGAGAGGAATCTAGCATGGCTGACTTCATCTTGCTTCTGGTTTATAGGCTGGCCGTCCTCACCCGTTCCTGGGCATAGATCAGGCTAGCCATGAGAAGAATTTAGTTTATAGTTTAAAGCAAGGATAGTAATAGTCCCTCCCAAAACGTAACCCCCTTTGTAAAACTAATGAAAGCCTACAAGATTGGGATTATGAGAGGGGCCTGAATTCTGCTAAGATGCAGGCGTAGTTAAACTATTACCAGCCATCGTTCAGGAGGTCACAAGACTTGTAAGTTCCCCAGTTACTCCTGTAGGTAGCATCCCTATCACAGAATCTCAGATTGACCTTTTGAGATGTCTTTGTAGACTTTTGCATTTCTGGTGACTGAGTCCACCCAGACCCACAACTCATTACTCAAGTGGTCCTGTGGTCCCCACCCAGAGGCTGACTCAGCACAAAAGGACCATTTTTCCATACCCCTGTGATTTCATCCCCAACCAATCAACATTCCCCATTCCCTAGCCCCCTGCCCACCAGGCTATCCTTAAAAAACCCTAACCTTTGAGCTTTCAGGGGAGACTAATGTGAGTGATAACTCTAGTTTCCACACATGGCCAGCCTCATGTTAATTAAACAGTTTCTTTACTATAATTCCATGGTCTCAGTGAACTGGTTTTGTCTATGCAGTGGGCAGGAAGAACTTGTCAGGTGATTATATAGCCCCTTTTGTTGCATGGAAAGTGAAGATATTGATGTTTTCTCTACCTTATCTCATGAGGCTGAGTAAAACTCAAAGCAAAGTAAGGAAGGGCTTTGTAAAGTGTAAAATGAGCCACACATGTTCACTGACATCACTCTTTCCCATGTAAGGGGAAAGTTTGTTTTCTTCATTAGTTGCTTAGTTTGGGTCAGTGTTACTTGATTTCAGGCTGTGCTTACCCATCTGCCCAACCCAGCAAGAATTTCCAATTCATTTCCAAATATAAAGCATTTTGGCCACTGCGATTTTCTACAGTGGATCCTAAACCAGATTTTTCTAATTCTGCCTCTTTTTCTCTTTGCTTGGAGCAGATTTAAGTCTGGATTATCTGTTTGGGTGGCGTCTATGCACAGTTTTGGCTCTATTTTTTTTTTTATCTCATTGGCCATCATTTCAATTTTTCTATTTGTCCCTTTCCTTCACATATAAAAGGCAGTAAAAATAGTAGAAAAGGTAACTACAACTGATTGAGCATTTACCACATGCCAGACATTATGCTAAACACTCTATATAAATTTAATCCTCACAACAGTTCTAAGGGAAGCAAAATTTCTATGATATAGGAGATAATTATGAAAAATTATCAATAATGAGTGAATTGCACATGTACATGTATGTACTCACACACACAAAAAAATTACTAAGGTTTATGGTAGGTATGCAGAGTCCTTGCAAAGAGTCACTAGTACTTCTTTTGTGGAATCCTTTCTTTGTCCCAGGAAAAGCCTCACAAGCTCATAGGCTAAGTTCACACGGCCATCTGACAAGCTTCCTTACTTGGACTAAAAATGATGTCTCACTAAATCCTTGTGATGAGTCCATATTATAGAAATTATCCTTCTCATGTTGTGCATGGGGAAATAGTATTTTAAAAGCTGGCTAAGTGTGAGCCCATTACTCTAAGAAAACAACACAATTTCTCTTGAGGAAACAAATCATTCTTTTATTTGAGAGGCCATGTTTATGAAATGTATAGCTATAGCCTAGTCTGGATTAAGAATAAATAGAGAAAATAATAAATGCTTTTGTTCTGCCTAAGAAGGTAGCAGATATTTCTTCAAAGAGTGAAAGGAAATTTGTGTTTAATTTCGATTTGAAATGCCCATCAGTGATAGACTGGATGAAGAAAATATGGTACATATACACCATGGAATACTACACAGCCATAAAAAGGAATGAGATATGTCCTTTGCAGGGACATGGAGCTGGAAGCTGTTATCTTCAGTGCAAACAAATGCAGGAACAGAAAACCAAACACTGCATGTTCTTACTTATAAGTGGGAGCTGGATGATGACAACACACAGACACAGTAGTCGGGGAACACACACTGGAGCCTCTCAGTGGGTGTGGGGAGGAGGGAGAGCACCAGGAAGAATAGCTAATGGATGCTGGGCTTAATACCTAGGTGATGGGTTGATCTGTACAGCAAACCACCATGGCATATGTTTACCTATGTAACAAACCTGCACATCCTGCACATGTACCCCGAAACTTAAAAGTTAAAGAAAAAAATTTATTTGATTTGGTTTGGGCTGTTTGGTTTGCTGGGTTACGAGTACAGGTCTTAGAGAAGCAAAAAGCCAGGAACGGGTCCTCAGGGAAGGATGCACCCCAGAGACAAGGAAGCAGATGGTACAGAAAAAAGTTTTCAGTGATTATTTCTTGTGGAAAGGAATAATTGATAAACTGGTGAAACAATGAACATTGATTTTCACATACAGATGTCTCCAATTATGCGTGAAAATCCCCCTCAGTTTTCCACATACATCGAGTAAAAGAATTGTGTCACATACACCAATTCTTGTTTTAGTCGTATCTTGTAGGCATGATAAGGAGTTGAAGAAAATCAAAATATTTTACCCCGAAATACATTTCTTTGACATATTTTAAAATGACTGCCACAGGGCCAGCAGACTCAATTGGCCATGAAATTTTGTGGGGGAAATTTGCATCTGTAAAGAATCTCCATTAATGCAACCAAGACTTCCCTTTCTAGGCCTTTCCCAGAGTGAGAATAGATTAACTGAGAGTCTGACATCTTTAAAGTTCTGGAAAAAAAAATTATCATTTATTCTCTCTGAGGGCTGCTACCTGTGAGATTTTACGTACATAACAAGGCCACATTTGCTAGCCAGGCCTCTTTCTTTCTCCATTCCATGACCTGTCTTACCCACTGTGTGTGGCCATTCTCTGAGCCTCCATTCTTTCTGTAACCTGAAAATGGTATGTAAGCTTCTGTACCTCATTGGGAGTTGGGTTCTTCATTCTGAAGGCTCTTGTATATACATGTTGCCTGGACCAGCAACCTCAGCTGCCCTACCTGGCATAGATTGTGATATAGCAGGGCTCTTTCTGCTCTACCCCCCAGGCAGATTTCTGGGCATTCAGAGCACCCACTCAGCTTGATCAACAGCCTGACATGCTCCACCCATCCTGTGCCAAGATCCTGGTTCAGAGAAGCCGTCTCTGCTTCATGCCCAGGCAGATCTCCAGGCATTTAGAGCACCCACTCATCTGATTCAGCAGCCCATGCCACCTCACTCTTTCTGGACACAGATCGTGGTGCAATGAGACCCTCTCCACAGCAACCCAGGCAGATCTGCAGGCATCCAGAACATCCACTCACCTGGATAAGCAGCCCAAGCTGACCCACCCTTCCTGTGCTGAGATACAGGTGCAAGAGGGCCCTCACCAATACACATTCAGGCAGATCTCCAAGCATTCAGAGTGTTTGCTTTCCTTGGTCAGCAGCCTAAGTCACCCCACCCTTCCTGTGTACAGATCTTGTTTTGGGGGCACCTCTCCACTCCATGTGCAGGCAGATTTCCAAGCTTTTCCTACTCACCTAAATCAGCTGCCTGACCCACCCCACCCTTCCTGTGCAGAGATCCTGGCACAGAGAGGCTCTCTCTGGTCAACGCCAAGGCAGATCTTCAGGCATTCAGAGCACCAGGTCTCCTGGATAAGGAGCCTAAGCCACCACACCCTTCCTGTGCAGAGATCCTAGTGAAAGAGGGCCCTCTATGCTACCTACATAGGCAGATCTGCAGGGATTCAGGTCACTTGCTTGCCTTGTTCAGCAGCCTGAGTTACCCACCTCTTCTGTGCAAAGATCTTGGTATAGGGGATCCCCTCTGCTCCACACCCAGGCAGATCTACAGCATCTGGAGCACCTACTCACCTGGATGAGTTTAGGCTGCCCCCAATCCCTGTGCAGAGAACTTGGGACTGAGGGGAGTTTCCCAGTTCCATGCCTAGGCACACCTCAGGGCTCTTGGTGGCCACTCACTGGATTCTTCCTCAGTGCTGGTGCTTGTGCCTGCCATTAGCAGACCTGTAGGTGAGACTTTGCAGTCTTGTCCCACCATCTTGCCCCACCGTCTTGCCCCCGACAGCCCCTTCACCCAACATACCAGGGAGCTTAGAGCATTGTGCACTCCATGAATCAGTCCATTGCCTGAGGCAATAGAGAGATTCTCCTGGTAATCAAGAATCAAATATATACCCAGCCATGTTGGCTGCAGCCAGCTTTTACCCATAAGCATCATCTACCAGCTTGTAGCTTGAACCACTTAGCCAAATATAAAACCTGCCAAAGGAAATACAAAGAGATATAAAAGCAAAGCCAAAAGACTCTACTCAGTAAAAGTAGGGGAAAGGGAAAGATAAGACACAGTAATAGCATAGGGGGAAAAAAAAGAAAAAATCTTACCTACATGAAAATAATTACAAGAATTAGAATTGTCATGTCTCCAGATGTGAAAGAATTGGTGCAAGAATTCTGACATCATGAAGAATCTGAATATAATGACACCATCAAAAAAAAAAATCACACTAGCTCTCCAGCAGTGGTCCCTAAACAAAAAGGAAACTCAGAAAAGACAAAGAATTCAAAGCACGGATTGCAGGAAAGTTCAATGAGGTTCAAACCGATATTGAAAATCAATACAAAGAAACTGCTAAAGCAATCCAAGAAATGAAGAAAGAGATAAGCATCCTAAAAAGAAATTAATCAGAGGTCTGGAATTGAAAAACTCAAATAATTTCAAAACATAACTGTAATATTTATCAATAGACTGAGCCAAGAAGAAAGAATCTCAGAGCTTGAATACAGGGGTTTTTTTTTTTTTTTTGAGCTAACTAAATCAGAAAAAAAAATTTTTTTTAATAAAGAAAATCCTCACAAAATATAGGATTAAGAAAAGCAAACAAACCTATGAATTATTAGCATTCCTGAGAGAGAAGGGGGAAAAGTCAACAACCTGAAAAACATATTTAATAAAACAATTCAAGGAAATGTTCTTAATCTTTCAAAAGAAGTAAATATCCAGATACAAGAAATCCAGAGAACACCTGTGAGATACTATACAAAGTGAACATCACAAGGCATATTGTCACCACAGTGTCCAGTGTCAATGCTAAAGAGAAAATCTTAAAGGCAGCTGGAGAAAAAGATCAGATCACACACAAAGAGAACCCCATCAGGCTAACAGCAGACTTCTCAGCAGAAACTTTACAAGCCAGGAGATTTGGGGGGCCTATATTCAGCATTCTTTAAAAGAGGAAATTCCAACCAAGAATTTTATATCCTGCCAAATTAAGCTTCATAGGTTGAGGAGAAATAAAATCTTTTCCAGACAAGCAAGCATGAGGGGAATTTGTTACCACTAGACCAGCCTTACATGACATATTTAAGGGAGTTCTAAACATAGAAACAAAAGAAAAAATACCTGCTACTACAAAAACACATTTAAGTATATAGCTCACTTACTCTATAAAGCAACTGCAAAATGGAAACTACAGTGATCAGCTAACAACTTCACAGTAGGATCAAAACCTTACATATCAATATTAACCTGGAATGTAAATTGTCTAAAGGCCCCACTGAAAAAGCAGTTGAAAGCTAGATTAAAAAAAAATAAGACCCATCCATCTGCTATCTTCAAGAGACCCATCTCACATGTAATAACACCCATAGGCTCAAAGTAAAGGGTTGAAGAAGGACCTATCACACAACAGAAAACAAAAAAGAGCATGAAGTCACTACTTTTCTACTAGATAAAACAGACTTTGAACCAACACCTGTAAAAAAAAGGACAAAGGGCATTACATAATAAAGCATTCAATTCAACAAGACTTAATTATCCTAAATATATATGTAACCAACATTAGAGAACCTACATTCATAAAACAACTAATTCTAGACCTTTGAAAAGACTTAGCCACACAATAGTAGTGGGGAATTTCAACACCCCACTGACAGTGTTAGATAGATCATCAAGGCACAAAACTAATGAAGAAATTCTGGACTTAAATCGACATGTGATCAATTGGACCTAATAGACATCTACAGAATACTCCATCCATCAACCATAGAATACACATTCTTCTCATACACACAAAGACAATACTCCAAGATAGGCCACATGCTTGGCCATAAAGCCAGTTTCAACAAATTCAAAAAAATCAAAATCATACCTCTCTAAGTCATTAGGCAAAGCCAGCATCACCTGGCAAAGACATAAGAAAAAAGAAAAATGACAGGCCAATATCTCTGATGAATGTAGATGAAAAAATTCTCAACAAAATACTAGCAAATCAAATCCAGCAGCACATCAAATAGTTAATTTAACACAATCAAGTAGGCTTCATTCCTGGAAGGCAAGTTTAGTTCAACGTACTCAAATCAATAAATGTGATTCACCACATAAACAGAATTTAAGACAAAAATTATATCATCTCAATAGATGCAGAAAAATCCAACATTCCTTCATGACACAAACCCTCAAGAAACTAGGCATCAAAGGAACATAGTTGAAAATAATAAGAACCATGTATGTCAAACCCACAGACAACATCATACTGAATGGGCAAAAGCTGGAAGCATTCCCCTTGAGACCTGGAACAAGACAAGGATGCTCCCTCTCACCACCCCTATTCAACATAGTACTGGAAGTCCTAGCTACAGCAATCAGGCACAAGAAAAAAAATAAAAAGAACCCGAATAGGAAAAGAAGAAATCAAACTATCTCTCTTTGCTAATGATAATTCTATACCTAGAAAACCCAAAAGACTTCACCAAAAGGCTGCTTGCACTGATAAACTACTTCAGTAAAACTTCAGGATGCAAAATCAATGTACAAAAATTAGTAGCAGACAGAGGAGATAGAACAATATTGCCAAACAGAAACCTCCAGAGATCATTCCCTCACCCCAACAGGAATAACAAATTGAACAACTTGTCATACCAAAAAAGCACTTCACGAGAACCCAAAATCAGATGAGGAATATAGTACCTGGTTTTAACATCACATTAGAGAAAGATGTGCTGAAAAAGGTAGGAAAGACAGTCTTGAATTGCCTACACTACCACTCCTCCAAGCCCCAGCAGTGCCTGCGTGGTCCATAAAGAGAATCTGTGTGCTTGGAGGAGACAGAGTACAGTGATTGTGGAAGGTTGCATTGGAACTCAGTGCTACCCTGTCACAGCAGAAAGCAACATGGGGTGGCACTCATCCATTGCCCACAGAGGGATAATTGAGATGAGCCTCAGCCAGAGACAAATAATCTATCCTAGTCATCAGAATCTGGGTTCCAGCAGGCCCCACCACCAATGGCTAAAATTCTCTGAGGTCCTAAATAAACTTGAAAGGTAGTCTAGTCCACAAGGACTGCAATTCCCAGTGCTGTGCTGGGCTCAGAGCCAGTGGACTTGAGGTGCATGGGACCTAGTAAGACAACAGCCAAGGCAATCATCGGAGTGCTTGTGTCACCATCCCCCAAACCCAGGCAGCACAGCTCACAGCTTTGAGAGATGCTCCTTCCTTTGGCTTCAAGAGAGGAGATAGGAGAGTAAAGAAGACTTTGTCTTGTAACATTGATATCAGCTCAGCCACAGTAGAATAGGACATGAGGCAGATTCCTGAGGCCCCCACTCCAGGCCTTAGCTCCAAGATGACATTTCTAGACACCCTCTCGGCCAGAAGAGAACCTCTTTCCTTGAGGGAAAGAACCCAGTCCTGGCAGGATTCATTACCTGCTGAATAAAGAGCCCCTGGCCCCTGAATAATCAGCAGTGGTAGACAGGCAGTACTTGTTGTGGGCCTTGGATGACACTGAAAGTTGTGCTGGCTTCAGGTGTGACCCAGTATATTCCCAGCTACGGTAAAAATGGGGAAGGGCTCCTGCTTGAAAAAAGGAGAGAGAAGAGTAAAGGCAGCTGTCTTGCAGCTTAGGTAACAGCTCAGCCACAGTGAGGAAGACAACCAAGTAGGTTCTGGGATTCCTGGGGTTCCCCATTCCAGGCCTGAGCTCCTGGACAGCATTTCTGGACCTGTTCATAGCCAGAGGAAACCCCCAGCCTTAAAGGGAGAGACCCAGGCCTGGCAGCATTCATCACAAGCTGACTGAAGAGACTTTGGGCCATGAAAGAACACTGGCGGTAGTCAGGAAATATTCTCCATAGGCCTAGGGCAGCAGTGGCCACAAAGATACTCCTCTGCTTGAGGAAGGGGGAGGGAAGAATGGGAGAGACTTTGTCTTGTGGCTTGGATCCCAGCTCAGCTGCAGTAGAATAGAGCACTAGGTAGATACCTAAGGTTCCTGACTCCAAGACCTAGCTCTGGGATGGCATCTCTACACTCAGTACCTGAACGGGGTGTCCAGGAGGCCCATCCCACAAAGTCGCCCACTGTGCTGCCATGGCACTGCATGCACCTGCCTGGGTGGGAATAAGGCACGGCAGCAGTAGCTTAGGCAAAGATGGGAAAGGAAAGGATAAGATCTGGTGTCCCAGGCGGCAGGAAGAACAGGTATCCAAGGAATCCTCCCAGAGATTCAAGACACCTAGATTGAGCTGAGGCTTTGATCGCTCCCTGTGCCCAACCCACATCAGACTTCACTCACAAAACACAAACTCAAAGATAAAAAATACTAATAATTTCAAGTCAGTAATAATAGAATCTCCACCACAACAGCCTCTCAATACTCACACAGAGCTAAAGATTAGACACCAGGAAATGCTTGCCAACAGACATAGCTAAAAGTGGAAATTGGAAAGCATTTCCGCTTTCCAAATCTCATGAAAGAACATCTGATTAGGGGAGTCTATCTACTGCAAGAGAGTCAGAGAAGTTAAATTTTTAGGTTTTATCAATGGAGGCTAGAACTGGATAAGGCAAAGCCCCATATTTACCTCTTGATAGTCTTAATACCCACAAAGAGCTGGAGATTAGACAGCGTGAACATGTAGTCATCACCACTATGCTTATGGTGCAACCCCAGGGCCTAATTTCCTGCTCTTTATGGGTATTGAAACTATTTTTCAAATCTCCTCTATCATTCTCCCATTATTCCTTCTGTGCATCCTTCAGTCCAGCCATGGGTGGTGACTTGCATTTTTCCAAGCAGGCTCCACTTTGGAGTTCCTCTACTTTTGCCAACAATATCCCAGAAATACCTTTTCCTTCATTTTAAATCTGTGGAACTACCATTCATCTTTCATGGCCCAGTTTAAACATTACCCCCTCTGACATTCCCAGTCAGAGGCAATCACCTCCTTCCCTCCGTATTCTTTAATGACTTAGTGTGTAAAAACCTATTCATCACGTGTCTTGGTGTTGGCACACCCCCATTAGACTAAGACGTCCATGATGAAAAAATTTTATCGTTCTTTTTATAGCCCCTCTGCCTAGCTCAGGGTCTAACATACACAACAAATGTATGTTGACAAAATGAATCTGTTGAGCAGAGCTACAATTCTCTCCTATCAGACTTGCTCGTAAAGTGAGGGAAACTCATAAATACTAGTAAACGTACAAACAGGGTATGAATGTTGAATCCATTAGAGCAGAATGAAGTAATTATAGAGCAGAAAAGATAGTTGGTATCTCATAATAAGGGAATAACGTAAAGTATAAAACCTCTCTCTTGCTCTCTTTCCTCAGAGGAGTCTAGAATATGGAACTCATCAAGCTGAAGTACCGAACAGAAGCAAGTTAAGTGCCTACCTGTTATTTATATATCTCCCTCTTGTGGTAATTAGAGAGCCTTCATTTACTGTTATGGTAGTCATAATTAGAATTTAATAGAAACAAGGCACTCTTCATTTTTTAAAAAACTGCAATATTCATGTGATTTGAGGTACATAAATCCAGTTTCAGCTATCTATGTATCCTTAAGGTCCTAGTCATGAACAACGTAGACAAGAAGAATATACAGTTGGCCCTTGAACACCACAAGTCTGAACTGTACAGGTCCACTTATAAGTGGATTAAGTAGATTTTTTGACACAAAGCAGGAAAATACAGTATTCACAGGATGCAAAACCTTGAAACCGTGCCAACTTTTCATTTATATGGTTTCCCCCAGGCCTGAGTATGACGGGATTTGGGAATGACTGGATTCGGGTATGCAAATGGTCCTAGAACCAATCCCTTACAGACACCGAGGGACAACTGTATATAAAATATTCCAGTGGGTCCTTTCTTCTCAGTGACATCCGGTACTTGATTTTTTCTTCTTTTTCAGTAAAGACAGATATTCCAATGAAGATGCAGGGTGAATGTCAAATATTTCATAATGTGAAGATTCAGATTCTTTAATAGAGCATTTTTCTTTGAATACATTAGATTCTTTCAGTGCCTTAAATACTCTCTTTGGAAGTTAGTCCTTTTAGATAGACCATTACATGGGAGTTGCATCTAAAACAGATGGTCCTTTAGAATTGACCATAGGAGTATTGTTGTTTTGGTAATGGTCGAGTCCACCAGACGTCATGAAATCATGTATAATCACCTCTGACAATTCAGGGTCTTCTTTCTCTGAATTTATCTAGTGTACTTAAGGTTTTTATTCAAACGTATTTATTATTGGGTACACATGGACATAAAGATGGGAACAATAGACACTGGGGACTCCAAAAGAAGGGTGGGAGAGAGGGAGGGAGGCAACAGCTGTAAAACTTCCCGTCGGGCACTATGTTCACCATCTCATCTCTGGGTGATGGGATCAATAGAAGCTCAAAACTTAGGATCACACAATATATCCTTGTAACAAACCTCCACATGTACTCCCTGAATCTAAAATGAAAATGGAAATTTTATACACACACACACACAAACACACACACACATATATATATATACATATATATAGAGAGAGAGAGAGAGAGTCTGTCTGCCATGTTCAATACACTTTTCAGGGTAGAAATAAAATGAAACACGATCCTGCCTTCAAGGGGCTTACAATCTAGTAATGGAGATAAATGATCTACCTAATAACAATAAAGAAAATGATAAATAAACGACCAAATTCAGTGGTTCTTAAAGTGAGTACAAGTGATATATGCAGGGGATTTTTAAACATATGTTTCTTTTAAGATTTAAAAATGATATTTCAAGGCCAGGTGTGGTGGCTCATGCCTGTAATCCCAGCATTTTGGGAGGCCAAGGCAGGCAGATAACTTGAGGTCAGGAGTTCGAGACCAGCCTGGCCATCATGGCGAAACCCTGTCTCTACTAAAAATACAAAAATTAGCTGGGCGTGGTGGTGGGCACCTGTAATCCCAGCTACTGGGGAGGCTGAGGTGGGAGAATTGCTTGACCCCGGGAGGCAGAAGTTGCAGTGAGCCAAGATTGTGCCACTGCACTCCAGCCTGGATGACAGAGTGAGACTCCATCTCAAAAAAAATTTTCAAATGGTATTTCAAAAGAACATCCTAAGTGATTCTGATATGCACATCTCCCCTCTTTAAGGGCCACTGAACTAGGAGGAGTTCAAAAGATGTAAAGATTACTTCCTGGATGCGGGCAGTAAAAATTAGGATGACTTTGAGAAAGAAGGGACAAGTTTAGTACTGGGTAGTTCTGTGACACAGGAGTGTGATCTCCAATATCTACAGGGAGCAGGCAGGTAATATAAATAAGTAAATTAGGTCAATCTAGGTCAAGTTGATGTTAGGGAGTGCTGGGAATTAGGGCAGGTTGGAAAACACTTACCCTTTTTTATGTGGAATAACCACTTCCCAACTCCAGCCAACCATCCCATATAAGAGAAAAAGACTAATAAAGCTGGATCTTCCATTTTCTCAAGAGATACCATACATTTGAATTTTCTGGCAATTAATTTAAAACAATTTAAAGAACTATGTAGTCCCACAGTGCTCAGGCAAAACCAAACATGTGTGCAGATCACATTTGGCCTCTGGACTGTTAGTCATTAACTGAATCCACACTATTTCAGGCTCTGTGTGAGGTGCTAGAATACACACAACAATTTTGTTGCCTGCAAAGTGCCTATGGTCCAGAGAAAATTGACGAGAAAATGGACGATGACTGTGTCATATAGCCAGAGTCTCACAAAACTATGAGAGTACAAAGGAAAGAAAACTCACTGCTGAATGGGAAGAGACCAGCAGGACGTATTTCCCAGTCCTGACATGATGAAATAAAGAAACAGGCCGAAGCTAGCAAAGGCTCCAAAGGCAACCTCTAGTTGCCCTTACTGCTCATCAGCATCAGACACTTCCGTCAGCACCATGACAGTTTACAAATGCCATGGCAACAACCTGAAGTTACTGCCTCTCTTCTAGAAATTTCTGAATGACCCACTTTTTAATTTGCATGTAATTAAAAATGGTTATAAATACTGCTAGCGAACAGCTCAAACACTGCTAGTCTGCGTGCACTGCCTACAGGTTACCCTGCTCCACAAGGAGCAGTCACTCTGCTGTACACTGCTGCTTCAGTGAACCTGCTTTCTTCTACTGTCAGCAGAATTCCACTGAATTCTTTCCTGAGCAAAACCAAGAACTCTCCTGGGCTAATCCCCAATTTTGGGGCTCAGCTGCCCTGCATCACTGGGTTTATGGAAAGCTTCAAAGAGGAAGTGACATGTGAGTTCCATCTAGAAGAATGAGTAAGCATTTTCCAGGTTAACAGCTAGAAACAGGAACAGGCAAAGTCAACGCCATTTATAAGGCTCAGAAATGTGAAAGTATCCCTCTCTAAGAAGATCATCAACTCCATCAGGGCAATATATATATATATATATATATTTTTTTTTTTTTTTTTTTTTTTTTTTTGAGATGGAGTCTCGCTCTGTTGCCCAGGCTGGAGTGTGGTGGCGCGATCTCGGCTCACTGCAAGCTCCGCCTCCCGGGTTCCCGCCATTCTCCTGCCTCACCCTCCCGAGTAGCTGGGACTACAGGCGCCCGCCACCACACCCGGCTAATTTTTGTATTTTTAGTAGAGACGGGGTTTCACCGTGTTAGCCAGGATGGTCTCCATCTCCTGACCTCGTGATCCGCCCACCTCGGCCTCCAAAAGTGCTGGGATTACAGGCATGAGCCACCGCAGCGGGCCTACATATTCTGTCTTTTTAGTGCATTTTATCCTAGGCTGAGCATAGAAGACCCTCTATAAATAGCTTTGACATGTTGTGAGGTTCAAGGATATGAGATAAATAGTAAATACTTTTCCTTAGTGATCTGTAGGAATTATCATAATCTCTATAAAGCCCAAAACCCTTGATTCACTTAGGCTTACCATGACGTAAACAAGGTTCCTCAATTAGGAAGAAAAGAAAGTTTGGAAATCATGAAATTCCCTTCCCAAAGTCACACACAGCTAACCTTCAATTGCTCAGAGGTTGATTATCTAGTAATAAGAAATTCATATTCTTTGCAGTTCTCTCTTTCCTCTTTGATTTCTTTTTGTCTTATTCCATGATCATGTTATCTCCATCAGAAACTCAGGTAGGAGCCAGGTATCCAGCACATCCACTTGGCTACACATTAATAGCTTTGAGACAGAAACTGAGGTATATCAGACTCAGTGATTTCCACATTTTCTGATAATTTTAACCATCATATTCTTCTGATCCCCCATTACTAAGGATGAATTGAGTCAGCTAAACACTTCAAAGTCCAAGTACTGATGCTTCAGACTGCCTTATTCATAAAGGGATATTGAGTCTTAACTCCTTTTGCCACAGAAAGTAGGACTTCTAAGCAGAAACACAATTTCTTCTCTTAGGCTCTAGACAACAGCTACTAGTTCTCATGAGGACCAATACAGCTAAACACTTTCTAAGAGGAATGGATGTGATTTCAAACTATGCTTGTCTTCAAGCAACAGAGTTCAGACATTCATATTATTTTGTGTTATGAGCAAGAAATGGAAACAGGAAAATACATTGCCATGTGATATACTATGGAGAAACAGTAAGGAGTAGTGTAAAAGCAGAAAAGGTGAAAATAATTTTCTGCCTCAGCTTTCCAAAGCCTTTAAATCTATCAGGGTTAAGGAAACAAAAGAAAATATTTCTTTTCCAAACTATTTCTTGGTACATAAATCTCCTTCATTGAAAACATTTTTCTCTCTTTCTATTCCCTCCCCAATCCCCAATTTATATAGTGCACTGAAGTTTTCCTTAACATCATTTACTAAATATATCACAATATACTCTTTCCCTGAGGCAACCATTTCAAAGAGACACCTTCCCTCAATCTGGGAATTTCTCAAATAAATCACCCCATTTGGACTTTCCTCCCTCAATATATTTAATGCTGTGAACACATTGTGAAGGTTATAAAAGCTAAAATTCTGCTCTAAAATATGAATATATTTGGGGTGTAGGCTGAAGGTGCAGAATGACTCCTGAGGGCAAAGTCAATTACCTCTTTGGTTTGTTGAGTCTCCAGAACTATTTTACAAATGTTTTTGTTAAAATAATAATCCTCCCCCACAAAAGAAGGCTGTGCCAAGCACTTTTTCCCTTCATGTGGTTTTGGAGGAGAACATTTGCAGGAGAACATACATTTCTGTCTTATTTAAACTTAGATCATTACAAGATTTAAGCGCATCTTGTCCCACAGCCAATACCCTTGGCTATCTGTGTAAATATAAATCAATATTGAAGAATGAGAACTTGTTTAAAACATAATTTCTCACATTTGAGGCCAGGTTATGTTGTGAAACCAGCATCTCCATATTTTTACTTGTTTCTGTCTAGCAAGCAATAGCCTGTGGACCAAATTAGACTCATGGACTGCTTTATGCAGCCTGTGAGCTAAGAATCATTTTTATATTTTTAAGGATTATAAAGTAACAAAAACAAAATGCACAAAGAATAATATCCAAAACTGAAGGTATCAATTTAGGCCCCTAAGCCTAAAATATTTACCATCTGGGTCTTTACAGAAAAGTAAGCTGACTCTTGATCTAGGCAAATAGACACCTTCCTGTTGTTCAGGTCCTTATCAAATTTCCAAGCACAGTTAACTCTATCCATCTTCACTTAAACAACTTATGGTATAAACAACTCACAAAAATAAGAGAAAGCTCTTGCACATTTGATTATGTGATTCATTTTGTGTATTGTCTTGGTTTAGGTTCTCTAAGAAGCATAGAAGCAAACCACAAGCCAAAGATTTAAGTGTAAGAGTTTTATTTGGGAGATAATCCCAGGAAGCACTGATAGGAAAGGAGGAAGTGAGACAGGACGGTGTGATGGTTAATACTGAGTGTCAACTTCATTGGCTTGAAGGATGCAAAGTATTGTTCCTGGGTGTGTCTGTGAGGGTGTTGCCAAATGAGATTAATATTTGAGTCAGTGAACTGGGAGAGGCAGACCTGCCCTCAATCTGGGTGGGCACCATGTAATCAGTTGCCAGCTTGGCTAGGATAAAAGCAGGCAGAGGAACGTGGAAGGACTAGACTGGCTAAGTCTTCTGGCCTCCATCTTTCTCCCATGCTAGATCCTTCCTGCCCTCGAACATTAGACTCCAAGTTATTCAGCTTTTGGACTCTTGGATTTACACCAGTGATTTACCAGGGGCTCTCCAGCCTTTGGCCACAGACTGAAGGCTGCACTATTGGCTTCTCTACTTTTGAGTTTTGGGGGATCGTGTGAGTCCATTCTCCTTAATAAACTCCCCTCCATATATACCTCTAGCCGGTTAGTCTTGTCCCTTTAGAGAACCCTAACTAACACAGTCAGGGAAGCAGCCACTAAGTGTGTGTGTCAGGGCGGGGGGGGGGGGGGCAGGTATCAAGCAAATGTTCTATTGTGAGTAAATGAAGTTTAAACCTGCAGGGGAACTCCAGCTGAGAGTTATTCCACATGTGAGGTGGCATCTCAGAGTTATTCCACATGTGAGGTGAGGGAGATAGGGCAGGAACACATCAACTCTCATCAGATGTTGGTTGATGGCTCCTTCCAGAATCATGTACTTCTCCAGTGCTTCTAGCTTGCTGCTCAGCTGAGGCCAGCAGAGTGACCTTCGATCATCACAGAAAGCCTTCAGTGGATGCTAGTGGCTAGAAGTCAACTGAAGTTATGGTTTGAGGAGATAGGGGTAGGGCATTAACACCTGCTACATTATATTTCTTGTAAATGCCCTACATTTTAAATAAGCTCCAGACTGTCACTGCTTCTCCAAGGTGGTTGCAATTTCTACAAAACAAAAACTTAAAACAGAAGGGTCAGTGGGAAAAACTAAAGTGTCTACTTCCACAAATTATATTTTTGTCCCTTCCTCATACCATGCATAATAGATGCCCCTTGCCCTTAGTCAAGCACTTTTTTCAATCTAGATTGTAGTTACTGGGCTTTCTTGCCCATTAACAATGAATAATGGACTTGAGCACACCTATGAGTAGCTCATTGAATTCCCTGAGCTCTAGACACACCTCCTGTCCCCCTACATAGCCATAATCTTATCTCTGTATGGTAATCATGGGTATCTATCCTTGTCAGTGTAGTATAGTAACTCACTTCTTGGCCTACTTGTTTACATGTATGAGGAACCCACAATGTTCAAGCTGCAATCATAGCTTTAGGATTACTGGAACCATTAATGTGTCCCGTAGTAGAAATGTCCTCCACTTACTCCCACTGAAGACCAGAATCTGTGGTTTAGTAGAGACTAAATCTGTGGGGATGAGAAGTACCAATTCCCCACATAGGTCACTGGGAATAATGGAAATGCAGTCATTCCTTCTTCCATATCTTGCTTTCCAGAACTATTGAGGATACAACCCTGTATAATGGACATTAGTTCAAAATATATATCACACAATGAAAGACAGTAAGTAGCCCAACCATGAAGGGTATATTCACCAAGATAGCTAAATGTTGCAGTGCTTTAAGAGGCCATTGCAACAATTCCAGCAGGTAGCACTTCCAGAATGGGGTGGAGTATTTTAAGATCCGTGGATCCCATGGTGGTAAGGTGCTCATTGTCATACCTTTTTTTCCTGAAAAAATTGGTTGCTTAATCCAAGGTGATGCAGGCTTCTGTGATAATAAATCAAACAATAAGCACATAATCACTCTAGGTCCTCTGACAGGGGTGCCAACTAAGGCAATTGTATGCAAGGAAGGCAAACCCATGCCCAGAACCCATATTAATAGAAGAAGAAATGAATTCCAGCCCTTCCAGGTGGAAGGGGTCCAAAGTAATCAACTTGCCATCAAGGAACTAGAAGATTTCCTCAAAGAATGGTAGTACACTAAGAGCTCAGCATTGGTCTCAACTGCTGACATTTTGGAGAGTCTGCAGTGGCAGTTGGATCAGCCTCAGTGAAAAAAAGATCCTTGTTGTTGGGCTCATGGATAACCTCCCTCTCTTTCACCGTGGCTACTTTAATGATGAGTTCATTTTACAAATACTGGTGGCCAAAGACAAAACTTCACTGGCTTCTACTGGGGAAGTCATTGATGTAACCTGGTTGTTTAGGGCCTCCTCTGGTGGGCATCAATAGCAAATACAGAGATTTGCAAATTTTGTCCACAATCATATAGAACTGACTACACATGTCTTCACTACATCAATTCAAGTTGATAGTCAGGTATACTCTGCAAAACTTTGCACAACGGGAGCATTTTCCCTCATCACTGTCTCCTAGGGCCACTCTTTTTTTTTTTTTTTTTTGAGACGGAGTCTCGCTCTGTCGCCCAGGCCGGACTGCGGACTGCAGTGGCGCAATCTCGGCTCACTGCAAGCTCCGCTTCCCGGGTTCACGCCATTCTCCTGCCTCAGCCTCCCAAGTAGCTGGGACTACAGGCGCCCGCCACCGCGCCCGGCTAATTTTTTGTATTTTTAGTAGAGACGGGGTTTCACCTTGTTAGCCAGGATGGTCTCGATCTCCTGACCTCATGATCCACCCGCCTCGGCCTCCCAAAGTGCTGGGATTACAGGCGTGAGCCACCGCGCCCGGCCCTAGGGCCACTCTTGATTGGGGCTGTAGTGCAGCAACAGTTCATACTACAACCCTTCTGTGATCCAGGCCTGGATACTTCCTCCTCCATCAGTTGGTCATTGTGAACCCCTGGAAGCCATAGGCAAGTGAGCTAAAGAAAAGGCATCAGTACAAAAGAGGTAGGTGTCATGGGAGCCTCAGCAACCTATTCACTCAGCTGTGCCCTGGGGACCTGCTCAGGCCTAAGTCCTGAGTATACTATTTTCATCATACAATGGATTGCTACTGTGTTCTCCCAACTTTACCTCTTAATAGGTCTGATAATATCCAACTCATCACAATGAGCTTCACTTGTATAATCACTTAATGTCCTCCATGAAGCTGAAGAGCATGCCAGGAACTGCATCTCAAACAATGAATACTTTTCTGCTGCAGATGGCATGGCTTTGCTCCAAGCGTCTGTTCTGTGACTCTCCTATTGGGGTTTGCCAGAGACCCTGTCACAGATACCTCTAATAACTTGAGATCTGCTGAGTCATATGGCCCAATCAGCTGTACTGAACTTGTACTGAAAACTGATACTGCTGTAGAAACCTCTCTTTATACTGCATTCAAAACTGGTAGCCTTATGAGTCACAGGATAAATGAGTTGGATATATTCCCAAATGTGGTTGGTGCTATATCCAAAATTTTCATAACAAGTATATGTCTATTTCTTAGTGGTGGGAGGTACAAAGGAAAGTCAATCATAACATGTATCCAGATCCCTGATCCCTAAAAACTTCATCTTTGTGGCAGGCCCCTGCATTTGGTAGGATTTATCTCCCATCCAGCAGTGTGCCTGTGTCTTACAAGAGCATCCAGAATGCTTGCCACTCCCTGTTTCCCAGGCCCAAGTAACATGATACTGTAATAATAAGATGAATATGATAAAACAATATTAAAAATGCCAACAATAATATACCCAAATTTTAATGTACACTTTCATTACCAAACTCTTAGGGAATAGAGTCTAAAAATTAAATTCCCATGAAAGTTAAAACCTCAAGTAATTAAAGTGTCAAATTAAGTTATTTTGCTCTCATGAGTTAGAAGTCCTAAGAAACTGAAGTCCAAATTATTTCTCCCCAATTTCTTCTTTTGGTCAATTCAATTTCAGAGTTCCCAATGCCTGGGTGGAGTTAGGAGCTCTTTAGCAGAGATGTTCTTTAGCACAATGGTCTTGCACTGAAATGCAAGTAGTTTCTTTAGGAAACTACAACTTAACTTACAAAGTTAACTTAATGCAATGGCAAGTCTTTATTGCACCTGAATTCTTAAAGTTTAAGTAGTTAGGCTATGCACTGGTCTTACATCCACCACATTTAGAAGGCAAGCCAGTCCCTCAAGGAATTTGCTCAAGGTCATATAGTTAACTAGTAAGTGGTAGCACCAATAGGCAAACCCTAGGCAGGTGCCCTGAGAGCCTGTGCTCCTAATCATGGTGCACTCCTCACTGGCTTCAGTTTTTCTGAGGTACTGGTTAATCTATGCCAGGTATTCAGAATACGTGATCTATGGGCTTCAGCTCACTTGGACTTTAAATTCATTAAAAGGTTAATTTGGGTACTATATATTTGGCTCTATATATTCACCATATTTTAAAGGGAAAAATACATTGTCTTTTCCCTCAGAGGATAATGCAGTCTTTTTTGAAAAGCAGCAACTACTGTCACCAGATGTTATTTGAGGAAGCTTTCTTTTCCATCTGCTATATTTAAAGCCTTCTAATTTCCCTTTCTCCTTTGAGGTCCTAGATTCTGGCACCCCAAGACTGGATTGAGTACAGGCTCTATCTAGTAACATAGCATTTACATTCTTTTGCAAACAGTCGCTTTCAGTGCTGTACCACAGTGGCTTAAAAAAAAATCTAACTCTTAATAAAGAATTCCTGAGACCTAAGAAACAAACTCCAAGGTAATGTTTTCCCTTATTCATAATGAGCTAGCCTAGAGTCAACTGGAAACAAAATGGTGTTTGATCACTTTTGACCCTGAATACCAACTGTATCCCTCTCACATCACTCGCCTCACCCCTTACCCGTAATTCATAATGGAATTTGGGTCAACCAATCTAATTCTGTCTATGTAGGATATACAAAACTCAGATGACTTTCACTTTACAAGCAGTAAATACTGTACTGCTTCCAATGTGTAAAAAGTCTGTATTTAGAAAGGCATTTTTCCCAATATTGGCCTCAGTTACACCCATGTGGCTTATATTCAAGTGATAGTCTACACACTGAGGACATCCAAGCCTATTAAAAACATCCCCTGACATCAGAGCTGCTGACAGAAAGAATGACATGTACACTTCCTGTGGGAAGCTCCACTTCTGGAGATGAAAGGTCTGGGCTATAAATGCCCAGTTTATCTAATCAATATTGCTAGTTATAGTTAAGTCAGCCCATCTTCACTCCTCCAAGAGAGGTGTCTCCACCAAGGGAGGAGATCCTCCACATGGAAGGAAAGTCTATAATTAGAGAATAAGCATTTTCTCCTATACATGACTAGGAAGATTCCTGCACATAATCTTAGAAAATAAAGTTTTGCTTTTGCTTGAAGATTTAAAGACCATGACATGAAAAAAAGAGTCATCATGCTCAAAAATAAGTAAGTGAAAACATAGATTAGGTTTAGTATCTATGTGAAGTAGTAGTATATCTTGTCTCTAAATCATACATACATTCCACCTCTAAGGGCTATTATGAATTCAACCAATTTTTAAGGAAGTCAAAGCAAAAGAGAAGAAATAAAAGGACAATAGTTAGGTCTCCTTTCTTTCTTCCAAACAGGCAAGGTCCTGGAAAGAACTGATGAAGAAAAGCTTCTGCTGATGAATCCTAAGGTGACATTCATGATCAAACATACTTCCTCAGCATATGAGAATTGCCAACTCCCTCATCCTTTCACTGCTGAAACCACCTTTGCAAAGATTATGATAGTGAGAGGAATCTAGCATGGCTGACTTCATCTTGCTTCTGGTTTATAGGCTGGCCGTCCTCACCCGTTCCTGGGCATAGATCAGGCTAGCCATGAGAAGAATTTAGTTTATAGTTTAAAGCAAGGATAGTAATAGTCCCTCCCAAAACGTAACCCCCTTTGTAAAACTAATGAAAGCCTACAAGATTGGGATTATGAGAGGGGCCTGAATTCTGCTAAGATGCAGGCGTAGTTAAACTATTACCAGCCATCGTTCAGGAGGTCACAAGACTTGTAAGTTCCCCAGTTACTCCTGTAGGTAGCATCCCTATCACAGAATCTCAGATTGACCTTTTGAGATGTCTTTGTAGACTTTTGCATTTCTGGTGACTGAGTCCACCCAGACCCACAACTCATTACTCAAGTGGTCCTGTGGTCCCCACCCAGAGGCTGACTCAGCACAAAAGGACCATTTTTCCATACCCCTGTGATTTCATCCCCAACCAATCAACATTCCCCATTCCCTAGCCCCCTGCCCACCAGGCTATCCTTAAAAAACCCTAACCTTTGAGCTTTCAGGGGAGACTAATGTGAGTGATAACTCTAGTTTCCACACATGGCCAGCCTCATGTTAATTAAACAGTTTCTTTACTATAATTCCATGGTCTCAGTGAACTGGTTTTGTCTATGCAGTGGGCAGGAAGAACTTGTCAGGTGATTATATAGCCCCTTTTGTTGCATGGAAAGTGAAGATATTGATGTTTTCTCTACCTTATCTCATGAGGCTGAGTAAAACTCAAAGCAAAGTAAGGAAGGGCTTTGTAAAGTGTAAAATGAGCCACACATGTTCACTGACATCACTCTTTCCCATGTAAGGGGAAAGTTTGTTTTCTTCATTAGTTGCTTAGTTTGGGTCAGTGTTACTTGATTTCAGGCTGTGCTTACCCATCTGCCCAACCCAGCAAGAATTTCCAATTCATTTCCAAATATAAAGCATTTTGGCCACTGCGATTTTCTACAGTGGATCCTAAACCAGATTTTTCTAATTCTGCCTCTTTTTCTCTTTGCTTGGAGCAGATTTAAGTCTGGATTATCTGTTTGGGTGGCGTCTATGCACAGTTTTGGCTCTATTTTTTTTTTTATCTCATTGGCCATCATTTCAATTTTTCTATTTGTCCCTTTCCTTCACATATAAAAGGCAGTAAAAATAGTAGAAAAGGTAACTACAACTGATTGAGCATTTACCACATGCCAGACATTATGCTAAACACTCTATATAAATTTAATCCTCACAACAGTTCTAAGGGAAGCAAAATTTCTATGATATAGGAGATAATTATGAAAAATTATCAATAATGAGTGAATTGCACATGTACATGTATGTACTCACACACACAAAAAAATTACTAAGGTTTATGGTAGGTATGCAGAGTCCTTGCAAAGAGTCACTAGTACTTCTTTTGTGGAATCCTTTCTTTGTCCCAGGAAAAGCCTCACAAGCTCATAGGCTAAGTTCACACGGCCATCTGACAAGCTTCCTTACTTGGACTAAAAATGATGTCTCACTAAATCCTTGTGATGAGTCCATATTATAGAAATTATCCTTCTCATGTTGTGCATGGGGAAATAGTATTTTAAAAGCTGGCTAAGTGTGAGCCCATTACTCTAAGAAAACAACACAATTTCTCTTGAGGAAACAAATCATTCTTTTATTTGAGAGGCCATGTTTATGAAATGTATAGCTATAGCCTAGTCTGGATTAAGAATAAATAGAGAAAATAATAAATGCTTTTGTTCTGCCTAAGAAGGTAGCAGATATTTCTTCAAAGAGTGAAAGGAAATTTGTGTTTAATTTCGATTTGAAATGCCCATCAGTGATAGACTGGATGAAGAAAATATGGTACATATACACCATGGAATACTACACAGCCATAAAAAGGAATGAGATATGTCCTTTGCAGGGACATGGAGCTGGAAGCTGTTATCTTCAGTGCAAACAAATGCAGGAACAGAAAACCAAACACTGCATGTTCTTACTTATAAGTGGGAGCTGGATGATGACAACACACAGACACAGTAGTCGGGGAACACACACTGGAGCCTCTCAGTGGGTGTGGGGAGGAGGGAGAGCACCAGGAAGAATAGCTAATGGATGCTGGGCTTAATACCTAGGTGATGGGTTGATCTGTACAGCAAACCACCATGGCATATGTTTACCTATGTAACAAACCTGCACATCCTGCACATGTACCCCGAAACTTAAAAGTTAAAGAAAAAAATTTATTTGATTTGGTTTGGGCTGTTTGGTTTGCTGGGTTACGA